>NW_017363814.1:0-300000 GCF_000001405.40 Homo sapiens
GAATTCTACAGGGGCACCTGTGACCTTGACCAGCTCCTTTATTATGTTGAATCTTTGCATCTTCAAAGGAGAAGCAGGGACTTGGTCTCTGGGGTCTGTGTTCAAAAGGTAGTAATGTCAGTGGAGTCCTTAGAGCATTCCAGAGTCAAATGATCAGATGTGGCAAACCTCTGGGTCATGCAGTGCCTATGCAGTGAGGGCCCAGGAAGATGGGTCACAGGGCCTGCTGTCCAGTGATGAACGGAAGACAAATCTCCCACCTTCTCATTGCAATAGCAGGACAAAAAAATCTTGGATTCATTTTCAGCCTCTGTGTAAAAACTAAAAGCATGTGGACTTTAAACGTGTTTAAAATATTAAGAGTCTATTAAAGCCCAAACTGCAGAAGCTTATAAAGTAATATATAAGCAGTTATTTGAAATATTCTGTACAAGTCTGACTGATCACCTGCCAATGCCATCACTGATTTCATCCAGCCCCACACTGTGCTCTGGGCAACAGCCCCGTTCTGATGAGTTGAGTTGGGCAAACAGGCTTGGAGAATGGTTCCTTCAGAATCAGCCAAACAGTTTCTGTTAAATGTACTTCCCATGAAATTACTCAAAGACATTTTGATGAAATTCTGCATTGATAAAAACTCAATGTAATTAAATATAGCAATGTAATTAAATGTAATTAAAATTCACAACATAGCATGTTTAGGAAACAGTGTAATTTTGATTTGTGTGCTTTTTATTGTTCCCTTGCTGGTCACATCCAAATGCAGTTGACATGAACCATTTTACAGATGAGTTTCTTGGAAGACAGAAGTCATGTTCGACATGAATTCGATAAGCATCTAGGGTCCCTTAAAACCTGACTTGTCTTATCTTTTTTGATTTATTGCTGTTAATTTGCCTCCCACTTTAAAGTTACTGTTTCTGCTCTCGTCTTTCCTTGCCCTTTGTTCTTTAATTTCTTTCTTTCTTTCTTTTTTGAAACAAGATCTTACTCTGTCACCCAGGCTGGAGTGCAGTGGTGCAGTCTCAGCGCACTGCAGCCTCTGCCTCCAGGCTCAATCGATCATCCCACCTCAGCCTCCAGAGTAGCTGGGACCACAGGGGTGTGCCACCATGCCCAGTTAATTTTTGCATTTTTCTGTAGAGACAGGGTTTCACTGTGTTGCGCAGGCTGATCTCGAGCTCCTGGGCTCAAGTGATCCTTCCACCTCCACTTCCCAAAGCGCTGGGATTACAGGAATAAGCCATTCCTGTATTAGGCTCAGCCACAGTCCTACAGCCCAGATGCTTATAGTTGTATTTAAAGCATCAGGTTTCCAATTGTATTAGTTTTCTATAGCCACCATAACAAAGTACCACCAACCTGGTGACTTAAACCTCAGAAATGTAGTGTCTCCCAGTTCTGCAGGCGAGAAATCCAAGATCAAGGGGTTGGCAGGGTTGGTTCCTTCTGACGGCTATGAAGTGGGAGCCTGTCTCAGATCTCACCTCTAGCTTTTGAAGGTTTGTTGGCAATCTTTGGTGTTCCTTGGCTTATAGAAGCATATCACACCCATCTCTTCCTTCTCCCTCATGTGGTGTTATCCCTGTGTGTGTCTGTGTCCAAATTTCTCTTTCTTATCAGGACACTAGTCATATTGAATTAGGGTCTGCCCAATTCTGGGATGACTCGTCTTAACTAATTACATCTGTACCAACCCTATTTACCAGCAAGGTCACATTGTGAGGGTTAAAATTTCAACATATGAATTTTTGGGGAGGGTATGTGATACATAATTCAACCCATAACACAAATAAATATTTCTTTAAGGATCAGAAGAGTAAAGAAATTGAAGGGATTCTAATATACAAGTTCTCTTAAAATAACACTTAAAATATTAAGCATAAAGTTTTTTAAATTAAAAAATTGTTTTATTTGTAATTGACTAATAATTATATATATTTATGGGGTACAAAATAATGTTTCAATACATGTATACATTGTAGAATGAGCAAATCAGGCTCATTAGCATGTCTATTACCTGAAATATTTATCATTTCTTTGTCACGAGAACATTTAAAAGCCTCTCTTTTAGCTATTTTGAAATGACTGTACATTATTATTTACTTTAGTCATTGGACTATGGAATGGAATCTGAAGTTTCAGTTAGGAGGAAAAATCCCTTTCCTTTCCCAGTTCTATTTCTCTTCTCCTTCATCTGTTTGTGGCAGATTGGATGGGGTCTCTCTCTTACCCCCAACCAGCAGGAGAGATGTTTGGGGGTTAGAAATTAACAATCTGGGGCTGGTGCTATATCCCTGAGACTTCAGACAAACCCACGTTCAGTTGATATGGTGGTTTCAAATATAAGTAGGATCAGAGAGAACAAAGATGCTGGGATTATGATTTCTCAATAATATACTGAATAGTATACTCCTCCACATGAGGCTATTCTGGGTTTTTCTTGGGAGGGAAATTAACACTGTGGTGAAGTGTGAGAAAACTGGACACAACCCTTACTAGTGGAAAGACAGAGCTGGAATTGACAGTGTTCATTTCCTCCCACTCTCCACCCTCTTCGTGATATCAGGGCTCACCCTTGGCACCTTCCCACTTAGAAAAAACATTGTCCATCATCACTTGGCCAAAGCCTGAGACACTGGCTTCTAAGATACAAGAAAGGGCCAAAGGCCAGGTTGTATATCCATGGTATCAGGTACATAGAGATGGAGTTTTCTGGTGGAGAGAAGTGCAGACACTTGAGGATAAAGGCTTGAAGTAGGTCTATGGGAAGAGGATGGAGGGGAGTGAATGGTGAGGCAGAATGAGGTGAGGGGCAAGATGGCATTTGTGTGGAGTACATGAGGCCACAGCTCCTGCTAGGCAGCCTGGCTTTCTCTAGGTTCCAGTCTCCTCTTTTTTCCCTTTGGGCTTAGGGATGGTAATAGCTTCCCTTTGTTACTAATTGCTGGGTACTTCATCATCCCCTACAGTTCCCCTAACATTATCCACATCTTCATAAAGATTAAACACTCCATTCATCTGACTGCTGCCTCGAGTTCCTGCCTGTGTTCAGGTTGCATCTCCCCAAGGAGATTTTACATTTCTGGAAGGCAGAGATCAAGTCTTGCTCACCTTTGAATCTGCATAGCATTGCATGAAAAGCCTTGTGGAAAACTCTCCATGAATAGTGAAGACAGAAAAGGAAAAAGGGGAAGAGTGGGTGAGGAAAGAAGAGCAAGGAAAGCAGAAAGGAAGGAAAGGAAACCATACAGGAAGGTGGAAGGATGGCAGAAAGGTGGTATAACACAAAAATGGGAACCCAACTCATTTCTCCAGAATTATGCTCTCTGACTATCAAGGTAAAGCCAAAACAGCCAGGAAGAACAGGGGCCCAACCTGCCATCTTATTAGGCGCTGCATAGACAGATCTTTCTTGTTTACTGCCCTGCCCAGCTCCTCATTCTGCAAAATGCTTTTACTGCCCCCAGTGGCTGTCATACAGTACTGAGGAGTAGCTTGGGCTTCTCTCTCTGAGTTAGAGGCCTGGGGACCTCTCCTGGGAGCCCACTCAGCACTGCATTGCATGATGTCAATCTTAGCAAGCTGGGCTATTCTGGAATAGCAGCCGCAGGCCCTCTGACTGCAGTCATTGTGTTCCTGCTATGTGCAGACTCTTGTAAGTCTTAAGGGTAGAAAGACATACAGGAGACTCCTTCACCCTCAAAAGGTATAGTGGCACCATCCAGGGTCCATGAGACAAGTAGAGGGATATTTACAGAGCATCACGTCAACCCAAATGGGTGAATTAGGAAGGTCAAGTGAAGCAGTATCAGGCAAGTGAAGTGCAGAGTGCAGATGGGAGTAGTCACGAGGGATGACTCAGAAGGACTGGCGAGATTTTTTAGTTATATTTGTGGTCAGAAGACTGAACCAGGTAGCTTGGAAAATATATTAGAAAGCAATCAATCAGTGTCAAGCACTGTCCTCAGGAATGTGGGCTTCTGGGTCCTCTGAGGATGCTTTATTGCTGATGGAATAAAAACTCTTATATAAGGATATGTTCAAGGTTCAGTGTGGATGTTTTGTGTTTTATTTTTTTTAGTCTGGCAAAGTCCACCAATAATGGTACACAGTAGAATTAAAGGGGAATTGGAAATTCTCTTCCTAGAACCCAGATTATACATATTGATGGGTATGCTGATTTGCATCTATTCCTATTTATTCATTTACCATCTCTGCTGGTAAGCTGATGGTGTGCCCAGCATGTCAGAGGATTCATTGATCCTGCCTCAAGTAAAACAGACTAATGCATATTTATTTTGCCATTTTCATTATTAAGTGAAATGCCAGAAAACATTTCAATATAACCTCTAGAGAAAACAAACCACTTTCCTGAAACCAGCTCTGTCTCTTCATCAAACGGAATGAAATATTTGGAAATGCTTCATTTCTTCCAGGCCAAAGGCACATCCATTCTCCTCATGCTGTTTCAAAGCTCTGATGAATGGAGTTCCTGTCCTGGCTCTCCTTCAGGAAGTCGTTGATCTCCAGAACCCAATAAATAATGGGAAAAAGAATGAATGGCATATATATGCATTGAGAAAGGACTTAAACTTTCACAATTTTTCTTTTTTGGTGTAGTCTCACAGGTACTCTTTTATTGATGAAAGCAACAAAAGATGGCTCCATTTGTTTCTGTGTTAATTATAAAACTGACAAGCTAGCTCAACAGCACATGAGAAGTATGTTTAACAAATCATATTAAAGAAAAAACAGAGCCAGAAACTGGGCCAGTTTGACCATTAGTTTAGGAAATAACACAGGACTGTTCCTAGGAAGAACCAAGAGGCCTAGACATAGCCTGTTAACTAGAGATGAAGGAGCTTCCATTGTCTCAACCACTTATTCATTCAAAAGCTGTATCCTAAGGACTGCCTCTAGATTCTGGGAATAAAAGAGTGAATAACATTAAAAATACCTAGTGCTAGAGACACAATAAATCAGACAAACTAACAGGGTAGGGACTTACCTGTAGGTCTTGCTGCCTGCCAATCTCACAATATTCTGCATACAATAAGAGCACAATGACTGTAGTTAGGGGGCCAGCGGCTGCTGCTCCAGGGCCCCAGCTTGCTGGGGTTGGGGCTTGTGTAGCACTGAGTGGGCTCTTCCAAGTGGAGGTTTCCAGGGCCTCTATCGAAGAGAGAGAAGCCCAAGCGACTCCTCTAGCATTGTGCGGAAGCCATGGGGGACAGTAAAGTCATTTACAGACTCAGAAGCCAAATAAACAATGGTAAAATATAAGGTATGCTAGATGGGGCGGAGAAGAAAAATAAAGTATGGAAGGGGACTAGGAAATGTTAAGGGGATGCACAATTTGAGACACTTTTATTAGAACAAAAGAAATCTCTGCCATCTGTCAACAAAGAAGACTCGGAAATATCATGAAAGCATGAAGACTTATTAAGCACCTAGTCAACAGTGAGACCCAAACTACACCTATGTAGTTGACATTCTATGCATTCAGCAGGAGCAGGATGAAGGTTACTGAGTCAGAAGTCCTGGCCCAGGCTGTCAGTTCTGGCCAGGTGAACTTGGGTGAATCATCTAACCTCTCTGAGCCACTGATTCATCATCTGCATAAGGGAGAAAGCATCTTCATAGTCCACTGCACAGGGTTATAGAGAAAACCTAATAAATATTGAATTTGGAAATTTTTTGCTGAAATCAGAGCACTGAGAGTGTGCTTGGGAAACACATATTGCCAGGGATTTCTTCCAAGAACTTCTGGTTCAGTAGATCAGAGAGAGAGACAGAGTCTAATCCAGCAGTTCTCAATGTTGGATGAACATTAGGATCACCTGAGAAGTTCCCAAAAAATACAGATGCCAAAGGCCCACACCAGACTAACTAAATCAGGATTTCTGGGGCACAGGCATAGGTACTTTTTAAAAAAGCTCTCCAGGCTATTCAAATGTGTAGACAGTTTGATAATCAACAGTCTAGTGAAGTCCATGTTACTGTGAATGATTAAAATTACAAAAAATTACAAGCTGCTAAAAGGTCTCAACCACCTTTATCTGAAATATTAGAAGAGTGGAACACCCACACTTCATGTATATTAAGTGCCAGGTAGTTCCAGGGTGGAAAGTGGCTTTCCAAGTAGCAGATAGACGCTTAAACATCTCCAAGTATGCAAGAATCTCCTATTTTGTGGGCATTTTCCTCCTCCTAGAGGCTTGGGCTCCCTCTCCCCATTATTTAATCACCCCATGATGAGGAACCCATCCTTTAGACATCCTAAGTCCCGATTGCCTCAGCATGATGGTGCAGCACCATAGTAAATGGGCACGCCATGTGAGCATCTAGATGTAAAGATTGAGTCAAGTAGTAGCACAAGGATGCAACTTTAATAGCACGTTTCCTTACTTTTCATTATCTTTTATTGGAAATAGAAATAAACAAAGTGAAATGTATCAGTGCTGAAAACAATCGTGTATTAAAGTATCTATGAAGCATCAAGTGCAACTTTCTGAAGGAAGATAGGCATAGCCTACTGTCTACAATACTGACCAAAAAGGCTTATTTGCCAGCAGGAATATTTCTTAAAAAAAAAAAAAAAAAAGACAAAGGAAAGATGATAAAACTGGGTCAGATGATTGTGTAAAGTTTTCTACTTAGATGCAAACATCAAATGATAAAATTTCCTCTTTCCCTGTGTAAACCTTTCAGTGTCTTGAAATTATCCCGGATCATTTTCTCTTTATTTCATTTATTTTATAATTTTGCCAGATACTTTTGTATGGGAAAATGGGACGCTTTGGCAGGAAGGAAAAAGGAGTACTGATATCAGGTTCCTGTACTGGGGAGCAGTTTCTGTGAGTTGTGGAGCTGAGGTGGGAGCTGGGAGGAGCTAGAAGCCTGTGTTGTCTTAAGCTCTGTTAAAGGCTATACTAGGTAGTCACGAAGCCGTTTCCCAAAGGTTTTTTTTCTGATTCACCACAATGTAAATAAAACCCCCAAAGCTCAAACAGTTATCTACTGAGATCAGGTTATCCCTGGATTCCTTTACACATCCCAATGTAACATCTTTCAACACTTGAATCCATTTTTTAACTGTCTTGTTTTCCTATAGTAACTATTGCATTAAATTACCATGCAGGAGAAAGATTTTAATCTTGGCTTCTCAGTTTTGTGAAAGCTTGTTTTATAACCCCGGATCAGCCCTGTTTCTACATTTTAAAAAGTGAGATAAGAAACATCTCATCCTTTGCAAAGAAGGGCAAGTCTTCCATTTGGTTGTTTGAGGGTGGTTAAAAAGGTCCCTCACAGCACATTTCAATAAAATATGTATAAATGGAAATAGCTGATTTCTATTTTTCAGAAAAACAACAACAACAACAACAACAAAACCCGGCTGGGCGTGCTGGCTCACACCTGTAATCCCAGCACTTTGGGAGGCCGAGGCGGGCGGATAACCTGAGGTCAGGAGTTCGAAACCAGCCTGGCCAACATGGCGAAACCCCGCTTCTACTAAAAATACAAATATTAGCTGGGTGCAGCGGTGGGTGCCTGTAATCCCAGTGGCTCGGGAGGCTGAGGCAGGAGAATCACTTGAACTCAGGTGGCAGAGGTTGAAGTGAGCCGAGATTGCACCATTGCACTCCATCCTGAACGACAGAGCAAGACTGCGTCTAAAAAAAAAATAAATTAAAAAACAAACAAACAAACAAACAAAAAACCCATTGTATTTAGAAAGAGAATATTTTGTTAAAATTTTGAGGCTAAATTTTATTGTTTAGAATATCTTTTTAAAGTGTCCTATGGAGCTTATACTGTAAACTATGCCACTTGCATTCAGTCATCTTTCCATGTAGTAATTTTGGTCTTATGCTACTGTTACTTAAAAGCTATTCAAATTATTATGTTGTGACTCTATATTTCTCCATTTTTGACTGTTGTCCTGTTATTCTTACTCATTTAGAAGCTCCAAAGAAGATTGTTCCCAGCATATAAGCACACATGAACATATTGTGTTACATTTCTCTTTGCTTATTTTCTTCCCACCTTCTACCCATTCAAAAAAATCAGTCAAGAATGACTCAGAGATACCTGAATGGAGTTTGCAGTTCTGCATTAAAATTGAAGCCAAAATTAAGAACACTCTCTGAAGGACTGATTTCAGAAGAAATAATTTGATTCTTATTTCTTAGATGAAAATTGGTTCTCCCTACTAAGCTACATTGGACAAATCCAAATTACAAAAATTTGCCTTAGTTATATGACTATTTCTGAATACATCGTTATAACGATTGCTATGTTTTGCTATTTTAAACGATCCATAATAACTCCATTTTGTCATTTTCCTGTGTACATACAATCAGACTTAGGGCCTTTGCATGCTTTCAGTTTGTACTCTTTGATGGTATTAGAATACCCTTTCTCTATATCTAGCACTCAGTAGGCATTTGATACATCTTTACTGACTAAATAGTTATCTCTTTAGCTACTTTCAAGCCTATTTCTATCTTTTCTATCCCTTCTTCTTACTATTTCCATGAGGTAGGCAGAACTGACTACCTCCATTTTCAAGGATGAAGAATCCATGGCCCAGGGAGGGAGAAGACCATCCCCAGTCCTTCTAATAACTTATGCAATATCTTTCCTCTTTTCACCGGCCTCCTTTGCATTCATGATTCTCAACTGGGAGCAATTTTTTCCCTTCCTCCCTCTTAGGGGACATTGTCTGGAGACATTTTTTGTTGTCACAAGAGGGGTCCTACTTGCATCAAGTAGGTAGTGGTCAGAGATGCTGCTAAACATCCTACAATATATAGGACAGTCCCACAAAAAGAATTGTCTGGCCCAAATATCACTAGTATTGCTTTTGAGAAACACTGTTTTGCATGTGCCTGCAATGCCTTTGATGGTCCTCAAAGCCGATGACACCTGAGGACCTCAGCTCCTGTGGCAGGTTGGTGGACTGGCTGGTTGTGAATGCAAGAGCCCAGTGGTAGGTAGCTGAGAGTCCACCTTTTTTCTGGAGGTTGAAGTCACTTGACATATTAATGGATGGAGATTATTCAATTTTAAATATTTTTATCTTTAATTGCAAAAGGAACACATGCTCCATGCATACAACTTATGTCAATGACCATCTTTGGCCAAATACCACAAGAAACACACCTATTCTAAAAGTTAGATTTGTGGATTTTGCTGTAGCAAGGGAGGCTGCTGAAAACCATAGCAGTAAGAGGCTGTTACAGGGGCTCGTTAGGATTAGCTTGTGTTGGGTATTTTGGGTAGGGTTCGAGGATGTGTGGATTGGGAGGAAGTGGAAGAAGGGGAATTCTATAATTATATTACAAGTTTTTATCTTAGGAGGTAGGAGAACAGAGTAGGTTAACAAACACTATAGTCAGCAAGGAAGTTGAAGTCACTCATATTTGGCTCTTTGTGGTTTGCACAGCGTTTTTATTTTTGTCTGTGCTCAGACATGTTTACAGAGTGGTCCTGTGTTTGTTTTACTTCATCATGGTTACAGATAAAGGTCACATGCTGTTGGTGCAGTGTGAAATTATGTTCATCAGGAGAACAGTATGATGCAGCTATTAGAGCCAGTCCAGCTTCCAGCTGATAGCTCTCAGGGGCTTCTTTTTCTTTCTCATTTGGAACACATGAAAAGGCACAAAGAAAAACAACAAACAAACAAATAAGCAGAAAATACCTTATAATCGCACCATTCTGAAAGAAGAAAATTCAGATGTTTGTTGTAGGTCTTTTTAGTATTTTCCCAGTCATGTAACTATCATCAAAATGATAGTATAATTTATCAAACAAGGTTTAGTAGTCTGCTTTATCACTTAGCAAGATATCAAAAACATTTTTCTCATGTCAGCAAATGTTTTACTACAACATGATTTTTTATTGGTTGCAAAACATTTCATGAGATTAATAGCCTATAACTTAATCAATTCCATATTGTTAAACATGTACATTATTCAAATTTTTTACTATTATAAAAGTATTGAGATATATATCCTTGTACAACATGTGTTATTTTCCTCAGAATAAATTTCTAAAAGTATAATCAGTAGGTCAAAGAATAACCACATTTTTAAAGAACTTTTATGTTGAAATAATTATATTTTAGGATGATAGCCTTTGTCTGCTGGTCAGAAGAAAATCATAAGAAATTGGGTTAAGTGATTATTATGGAGATCTTCTTTACCAAGTTTTGTTTTAGAATCCTGAGGCTAGTAAAGGACAAATAATAATAAGTACAAATTTATATAACTGGAGAAAATCTCGTAAGCTTGATGAGGGATTTGGGGAGAAAGCTTATTTTCATCATGTGTAATGTGTCAGAAAGTTTTAGCCTCTTACGCAAAAATCAACTACAAATCAGAAAAGGAAACCTGTTGATATCTTCCTCCCCCTACCCATGGAGCATCAAGTTAACTGCTTTTCTCTCTGACAATTAGAAGAGAGGGTATCTCTGACTCAAAGCAGAGGAGAGTGGTGACTTGATTCCTTAAAAGTGAAGGTACATGTTGGATGAGGTGAGTTCAGATGAAGATAGGGAAACTTTGAGCAGGAGAGTGAAGCTTTGATTCTTCTTTTCCAATTCCTACAAGTTTTATTTCCTTTTCTGGGCTAGTTATATTAGATAGCATCCTCAGGTATAAAACTGCATAACAATGGAGATTAAGGAGCACGTGGTTCCTGATTTAATGAAACTGGATTAACAGTTTTATAACTAATGTACTGTTTGATCCAACTTTTTGATAGAAACTCTTTTCCAGGTTAAAGAGGTTTTCTTTTATGCCTAGCTTACCAAGAATTTTAATCATAAGTGAGTAAATGTTGCAATTTATCAAAAAAATTGTGCATCAGTTAGACAAACATTTTTCTTTTAATCTGTTAATGTTGTGTAAAAGATCAGTAGATTTTCTGATATTCAACCATTCTTCTATCCTTGTACTAAACCCAACTTGATCAATATGAAAATGACTAAATTCAGCTGACTAATATTTTTGTATCTCTATTCGTAAGTAAATTTGGACTATAATTATATTGTCCTTTTTTATTTTGGGGTCAACTAGCTTTCTAGAAGTATTCAGCAACTTTCTTTCATTGTCAATTATCTAAAACAGTTTTTATAAAATAGAGATTATCTGTTCCTTGTAAATTTGTTATAACTTGCTTCTAAAACCATGTCCTCTTACATTCTTACCCCATTCTCAACCCCCACCAATAGAATAATTGATAGTCAACATTTTAAATGGTTACTCATTTGAGAAAATTTTAATAATTAATATTTTATGGACTATTATACCATTTCATCTACATTTTTGAAAATTAATTAGAATATATATTGTATTTTAATATTTTCTTTTAAATATTTCCACTGTTTCTGCAGTTACATCTTCTCTCATTTTTCCTGATAATGTTTATTTGTGTATATTCATGTTATTTTTCTTATTTGTCTTGCTAGAGATTTGTGTATTTCATTAGATTTTTCTAAAGACCAGTTTTGGAGGTCTTAATTCTTTATATTTTTTTCTTATTTATTAATTCTGTGTTCTATAGGTTTATTTGTATTTTCTTTTCCTATGTTTTTGGGTTTAATGTATCTATTTTCCATTTTTCTTATTGAAAAAAATTATACAAGTGCCACTTGAATTGCTTCCTGTAAGTTTTTGCATGTGCTAACTTCACTAACATCTCATTCTAAATAATTTCCACTGTGATTCCTCTTTATTTCATCAGTAATTTAAGATTTGAACTTTATATTCCCTAGGATATGAAATTTTAAAATTATGTTTTATTTTATTTGTTACTTAATCAATTTATGGTTAGAGAATGTGACTTGTATGGTTCTGAATCTCTGTAATTTGTTAAGATATCTTTTATGAGCTAGAATGTGGTCAGTTCTGAAAATGCATTTATTAGCTCAAGCTTGTTAGTTTTGTGGTTCAGATTTTTAAGTCCATGCTATTTTTTTCTCACTTGATCTATTACTATCTTATAGAAATGTGACAATATATCTACTACAATTGTGGATTTGTAAATTTCTGCCATGATTTTGTCTATTTGTATGTGTGTTTGTGTGTGTGTGTGTGTGACACTATGTGTATTCAAGTGTATGTTGTTGGCATATTTAAGTTCATTATTGTTATAACGTCTTATTTTATTACTTTTATTATTATATTGTTTCCTTCTGTTTTTCAATAAAGCTTTCTCCCTTAACATCTATTTTGTCTGATGTAAATATTGTTACATCAGTATTCCTTTCTGTGTGGTTTTTTTCAGGTGTTTTTCTTTTAAAGAACATATAACTTGATATTACATACATATATATGGTTATATAGACATCTATCTGTATCAATCAATCAGTCTATAGGTCTCTCTCTTTCTTGTCTCTCTCACCACACACACACACACACACACACAAAGTGTATTCACATGAACCAATTTAAAGATCTAGGTTCTTCAATAGCTAAGCATAATCAATTATATTTATTGTGATTAAGGATATATTTATCTCTATTTTCATCATCTTAATTTGTATTTTTGATTTATGATCATTTACCTTTGTTTCTATTTTTCTCCTTCTCTTTGGTCTTTTGAGTCAATAATATTTTCTGCAATTATTTTCCTACCTCTGCTGGTAAGGCAGCTAAAGATTATACCTTTAAATAATTTTACCTTTAAACTTCTTGTTTTTTCTGAATCAATTTAGAAAGTTTAGTTTCCTAAGGATAAGGACATGCTTGTGACACAGCCTCAGAAGGTCCTAATGACATATGCCCAAGGTGGTCAGGGTATAGCATGGTTCTATACATTTTAGGGAGACATGAGACATCAAACAGTATGTGTAACATGTGCATTGGTTTTATATCTATATCTATATACTCAAGTATAAACTTTTCAACAAAATTAAAATTGTTGGGTATTTCCAGTCTCCTCCTGAGCAAGGGTCTTAGCACTCTTTAACTATATATTGAACTACACACCTGTTTTATAACTGTTAAATGTTTCAATATTTTTGTAACAGGAAATGTTTATTATTTATTTTTATAGCTAATACTTGATTAAATTTATTGGCATTTTTAATGATTTTTCTGCTCATCATTGCTTCCTATATTCTTCCCTACTTTCTGGGTTTACTTTTTAAAATATTTTTTTCAATAATTATTTTCTGTGGAAGGTAAACTATTTTTATTCTTATATGAGATATGTAGTCTTACCATTCTTATATATTCTGAAAGTTTATTTTGCCCCCTTTTGAAATGATGGTTTAGCTGAATACAACCATAATACAACCCCTGTTTTCAGGGAGCATTTAGGAATTTTTTTTGTCCCCTGGCATATATTGTTTCTCTCAAGAAACGTGGATCGTTCTGGTTGTTCCTTTGTAGCTAACATGTCTTTTTACAACAAGATGATATCTTTCCTTGATGTTTTACAGTTTTTCTATAATGGGTTTCTGTGGGATAATTTTATTTATTCTTATTGGTATTTACAGTGGATTTTTAATCTGAGGTGTCATGATTTCACTTTTGAAAAACTCTCAATAAATATTTCTTCATATTCCTTCCATTTTCTTTTTCTCAAACTCTCATTAAATAAATGTTGGTGTTTCTCAAACAATCCTGATTCTTAACTCTCTTATGTTCCTGACTTCAGTGTCTTTGTGTTGTGGGTGAATTTCTTAGTGCCATCTTTTAGTACTCGAATTCACTCTTCAACCACTTCTTATCTAGCATACATGTAGTATGTTGCATTTTTATTTTATGTATTTTACTTTTCATTCTTAAGACTTCTGATTTTTATTTTCTATTTATTATACTTAATTTCTTATTGTTTTGTCATTTTTGTTTTTAATTTATATATTGCATCTTATTATTTCTTATTTCTTATCTTTTCGAATTTCTAAATATATTTCTTTTTTTTAATTATACTTTAAGTTTTAGGGTACATGTGCACAACGTGCAGGTTAGTTACATATGTATACATGTGCCATGTTGGTGTGCTGCACCCATTAACTCGTCATTTAACATTAGGTGTATCTCCTAATGCTATCCCTCCACCGTCCCCCAACCCCACAACAGTCCCTGGTGTGTGATATTCCCTTTCCTGTGTCCATGTGTTCTCATTGTTCAATTCCCACCTATGAGTGAGAACATGTGGTGTTTGGTTTTTTGTCCCTGCGATAGTTTGCTGAGAATGATGGTTTCCAGCTTCATCCATGTCCCTACAAAGAACATGAACTCATCCTTTTTTATGGCTGCATAGTATTCCATGGTGTATATGTGCCACATTTTCTTAATCCAGTCTATCATTGTTGGACATTTGGGTTGGTTCCAAGTCTTTGCTATTGTGAATAGTGCCGCAATAAACATACATGTGCATGTGTCTTTATAGCAGCATGTTTTATAATCCTTTGGGTATAGACCCAGTAAAGGGATTGTTGGGTCAAATGGTATTTCTAGTTCTAGATCCCTGAGGAATCGCCACACTGACTTCCACAATGGTTGAACTAGTTTACACTCCCACCAACAGTGTAAAAATGTTCCTATTTCTCCACATCCTCTCCAGCACCTGTTGTTTCCTGACTTTTTAATGATTGCCATTCTAACTGGTGTGAGATGGTATCTCATTGTGGTTTTGATTTGCATTTCTCTGATGGCCAGTGATGGTGAGCATTTTTTCATGTGTTTTTTGGCTGCATAAATGTCTTCTTTTGAGAAGTGTCTGTTCATGTCCTTCGCCCACTTTTCTATTAATACTTTATCAGACTACCCTATAAAATTAGCTTTACCTTGGGTCAATTCATATCCTAGTTGTTAGTTTCTCTATTTTAGTTTTGGCTCACAGCAGACACTTTTAGTTGCAATCATTTCATAGGGGCCAGTTTTTGTTCACTCCCCCAACTTTCATTCCTACCTTCTAACACTAGATTTCAGCATGCCCAAGGCTTCATCTCTACTCAGCAATTTACATTTATGATCTATTTATGGTCAATAGGAATGTCTTATTTTCTGAGCCTAGCTATGTCTTCATGATTTTTTCTTTATGTATTTCATCTGTAGTTGCTATGCTTTTAGTATAGAGAGTGCTTGTATGTGTGTACATGCTTTTAGGCATGAATTTCCTGTGTCTTTCTGACCAAAATTATCCTTACAGTCCCTCCCAATCCCTCTCTTCCAATAGGTGATTTTTCCAAATTATTACTCTTCAAACAGTCAGTAAATGCTCATAATCACTAAGCACACTATTCTTCTCTTGTGTTTAGGACCTAATGGTACATGTCAAGTATGTACAAGAATAAAAGACAAGGTTTCTGACCTCAAATAATTTACATCTAGTCACAGAGACAAGTGAGAAGGACAGTACACAGGGTAGTAAGGATTAATTACAATAGCATAGATTTCCAAGAACATAATAGGCACTTGATATGGTTTGGCTCTGTGTCTCCACCCAAATCTTATCTCAAATTATAATCCCCACATGTTGAGGGAGATATCTGTAATCCCCACGTGTGAGGGAGGGAGGTGATTGGATCATGGGGGCGGTTTCCCCCATTCTGTTCTCATGATAGTGAGTTTTCATGAGATCTGATAGTTCTATATGTGTTTGACAGTTCCTCCTTTGCACACTCTCTCTCCTGCTGCTTTGTGAAGAAGGTGCCTGCTTCCCCTTCCACCATGATTGTAAGTTCCCTAAGGCCTCCCAGCCATGCCTCTTTCCTTTATAAGTTACCCAATCTCAGGGATTTCCTTATAGCAGTGTGAAAATGAACTAATACAGCACCCAATACTTATTTCTTATGTTTCTATGTCTTTGTCCATGAATCATAGGAGTCAGGTGAAATTATATATATATATATACACACACACACACACAGACACATACATATACATGTACATATACATATGTACGTGTGTGTATATACACATATACATATGTACGTGTGTGTATATACACATATACATATGTACATATGCGTACATATATATGTACATATGTGTGTGTATATACACACACATACATATATGTGTGTGTGTATATATATACACATATATAGACTTTTGTGCCAGATAGACAAAGTTGAGATGCTCAGTTTTACTTATGAGTTTAAAGATCATAGACAAATAATTTTAACTCTCAAAGTCTCAATATTCTCATTTCTAAAATTGGGATAATAGTGTCTGTTACTATGTTAGAATCTGTAGATACCAATTTGAAACAAAAAGATCTTGCCTCTTCTCTCATGAAACTTTCAATCACTGGGGAAGACAGGTGTTTAATAAATGGGTAAAAGTGCTCTGAGTATTATCATGGAGAGATTTAGGGTGCTATAGGAGCTGATCAAGAGTGAGGAGTCTGAGAAGACTGGGGTTGTGAAGGAAATAACATTTTACCTGAGACCTAGAGCATGCATTATTCAGGGAAAGAAAGTTGGCAGGTAGAAGCAGCAAGTGTGAATCCTTGAGGGCAGGAAGAAGTATGGTATGTTTGAAAAACTGAAAGAAGCCCAGTGTATATAGAGGGTAAACATGCAGAGAAGTAGGTGAGAGGAGGCCCCTAGGCCCTGAGGCCCTGCTCTTTTGTTTGTTTGTTAGGGGTGTGTGTCTTTGTGTGTGTGTTTTAATCCTAAGCAAAATGGAAAGCCATAGAAGATTTTTAGCCAAGTGAATGTTATGCTCACACTTGTGGGTTCAATCATGGTGGATGAAGTAAAAAGGAGTCCTTGGGAGGCAATTGCAGTAGCCTTGGGAGAGATGGCCGTGGCTGAGACAAGAGCCGGTGTGTAGAATGGAGAGGATAGAAAATACTGAGAGAGATTGAGAGGGCCAAATCAGCTGGACTTGGTGTTGATTGGATGGGAGTCCAGGGATACAATGTGAGTGAAATATCTCTTCCATGCATCCATTTCTATCTGGAATTTCTGCTCTTTTTCCTCCATTCCCTCACATAATAAATTTAATGGATTGAACTCATTGAAAAGATTATTAAAAGTTGTCTCACAGAGAATGCTTTCCTTGTGGATGACAAAAGACATACATTTAATATGCTTTTATTTGTTCAGTTGGTTTCCTTAATATTCTGGGCTTAAAAGAAGCGATAATTCCTTTAAGTAATGGCCGTTCAGTGTCAAGCACTCCATGTTTACTACATAGTAGCTTAGAGTCACCCGCCATCTACCTCGCCCAAAGGTTCCAAGTAGGTAAAGTGTGTGATGTCTTTGGTGCAGTGACTGCATGTCCCTCTGCTTCTTCTCTAGAATGTGCTAAAGGCCTTTGTTTTCCCCTTCTCCAGCCACCATTTCCTGGATTGGAGAAGAGGTGGAGTTAAAGGATGAGATCAAATTGTAATTCTATAGGTAGGAGGGACCATTCAGGTTGATGTCTTTCTCCCCTGGTCAAATTTCACCCAGCAGTAGTCATCTAAAAGTGTTGTCCTATGCAGCCCATGTTCCCAGGAAAATGGTAAAGAATGGAGCCTGATCCTTTATAGATATGATGATATCCTGGCAGGCACTTTAGAAGCATTCCTGGAGTTTTTCTATAACTGCACCAGTTCTAATCTTTGAAGAACATCGAGGCCAATATAAAATTTCTGCCTTTTCTAGGACAAGAGATTTGGGGGACTGAATTAGATTTTCTTTTTCAAATACCAGAGTAAATATATAGCTATGTTTATATGGAAACTCTGGAGTTTTGTAATCTAGTTCCTAGTGAGAACCCCAGGTGGAACTTGTCAACGTTCTACTGGCAATTGGACCTTCTTTTTGGGATGTGCTTTCAGTTGGCACTCAGAACCCCATCCAATATATCAAGTTCAAAACGTCTAACGCTATGCTCTCATCAAAAACTAAGATGAAGGAAATTGCATACAGAGAAGTTATCTGAAGCAGAAATTCTCAAGTGGAAGCAGGCAGGTCTATCCCTTGAAGAATGTGGTCTTTCAGAATATCTGGTAGCACCTTTCCATCACTCTTGTCCCATCCATTTGAAAATCACTGTGTATTATAGGGAGCGTTATTGGTGGAACTGCAAATGCTGTGGGAAGAGAGAAAAAAAATGTGTGATCTCTAAAACGAAGGGGTAAGCTGTTTTACCCCTTCACGGACTAACACACAGATGTATGTTTTTCCATTTCAGAGCATGTAAGGAAGTCTATTCAGATATCATTCATTAAATGCAAAGATCCTTACTTTCCTGTGGATCAATTTACATCTCTAAGTTCTAACCTTGACTCAAATTAGACACTTAGAATGCAGAATACTTTGTTCACTCTAAGTTATGCTTTAATAGTATTATTTCAGCTTTTAGCAAAAGAATAAAAAGTTGCTACATGAAACAAGCAGATGACGTTCACTTTTTAATTTGCTCTGCAAAAAATACATGACAATTATTCTTTATATAACTTAATACTTTCGGAACAAAGCTCCATGTGAGAAATTTCTTCTAGAGTTTAAGAGGTTTATTTTCTTCCTTAAACAACTGATTTGACTCCTTTTTCCAATAATGAGAGTAATGCAACCAATTATGTTTCCATTTTTGCCTTGACTGCAAGGAAACTATATAGGCAAATTTTTAGCTTCAGCATTTGAAGTAATATATTTACACCCTCCTGTTTTATTTGTTTATTAATTGATATTTCTATTTTACTAATCTTTTTGTTAATTGGCTTCTTTTTAAACTAACTCAAAATTTCTTTTTAAGGAGAAAAATTAGAGCTAAATTTAATATGCTAGTAGACATTATGTGGCTAGCTTCAAAGTCCAAGGTTTGCAGCAGCCCTGTAGAAAGGAAGCCATTTGGGACTTTCTCACCTGCCATTCTAGCTGAAATCCTCAACCTGGAATTACACCTTATTCACAATCCCATAAAAGCTACTATTTAAGCACTGCCCTCTGTTGAATTTCACTCTTGAACAGATCTAGTGTCAAGAGGCTTAAAAGTACTCCAGGAAGCTTCACACGCAGCCTCCAACTCTAACACAAATCACTCAAGGTGGACTTGCCCAACAAACATGTACATGTGATGTTTTAAAAATCTTGTTCCAATGTTCAGCCACCTTGAAAGTTTAGGGTTTGTTTTGCCTGAATTTTTTTTCATTCTTCTCTTTTTTAAATTGACATATAATAATTGCACATATTTCTGGAGTACATATGATATTTCAATACATATAATATATAGTGATCATGTCAGGATAATTAGCATGTCCATCATTTGAACACTAATCATTTTTTGTGTTGGGAACAGTCAATGTCCTCCTTCTAGCTATTTAAACTGTATATTGTTGTTAAAAGTAGTCATCCTACAGTAGTATAAGACTCTAGAACTTATTCCTTCATCTAGCTGTAACTTTAACATCCTTTAACAAATCTCCCCCTATCTCCCTTTTCCCCGGCCATTCCCAGCCTCTAGTATCCTCTGTTCTAGTTGGTACTTCTGTGAGATCAACTATTTTTAAGCATCCACATGTGAGGGAGAACATGAGTGTTTAACTTTCTGTTCCTGGCTTATTTCACTTGACATAATGTCCTCCAATTCCATTCATGTCGACAGGATTTCACTCTTTTTATGGCTGACTAGTATTCCATTGTGTGTATGTGTGTGTGTGTGTGTTCATTCAACTGTTGTTGGACACCTAGGTTGATTCCAAATCTTGGCTATTGTGAATAATGCTGTCGTAAACAGGGGGATGCAGATGTCTCTTCAATACTCTGATTTCCCTTCCTTTAGATAAATGCCAGTAATGCGACTGCTGGGTCATATGGTAATTCTATTTGTGGTTATTTGCAGAACCTCCATCCTGTTCTCCATTGTGCATTGTGGCTATCCAAGTTTACATTCCCACTAACTGTGTGCAAGATTTGGTGGGAATCCTTGCCAGCCTGCTTTTGTTTGTTTGTTTGTTTTTGACGGAGTCTTGCTCTGTCGCCAGGCTGGAGTGCAGTGGCATGATCTTGGCTCACTGTAACCTTCGTCTCCCGGGTTCAAGAGATTCTCCTATCTCAGCCTCCCAAGTAGCTGGGACTACAGACGCACATCACTACACCAAGCTAAGTTTTGTATTTTTAGTAGAGATGGGGTTTCACCATGTTGGCCAGGATGGTCTTGATCTCCTGACCTCGTGATCTGCCTGCTTTGGTCTCCCAAAGTGCTGGGATTACAGGCGTGAGCCACTGTGCCTGCCCCCACTCCCCGCTTTTTTTTTTTTTGTCTTTTTGATAATTGCTATTCTAACTAGATTGTGGTGACACCTCATTGTGGTTTTGATTTGTATTTCCCTGTTGATTGGTGAGGTTGAGCATTTAAAAAATATATTTGTTGGCCATTTGCACATCTATGTATTCTTTCGAGAAATGACTGTATAGGTCCTTTTACTCTTTCTAAATCGGCTTGTTTGTATTTTTGCTGTTGAGATGTTTGAGTTCCTTGTATATTCTGGATATTAATCCCCTGTCAGATGAATAGTTTGTAAATATTTTGTCCTATTCTTTAGGTTGGCTTTTCATTCTGTTGATTTTTTGCTTGGCAGAAGATTTTTGGTGTGCTGTGCAGAAGCTTGTTAGTTTAGTATAATCTCATTTGTTTATTTTTGCATTTGTTGCTTGTGCTTTTGAAGTCTCATTCCTAAAATCTTTTTCCAGACCAGTGTCCTGAAGTGTTTCTTCTATATTTTCTTCTAATAGTTTTATAGTTTTGTGTCTTACATTTAGGTCTTTGGTCCACTTTGAGAAGATTTTTGTATAGAGTGAGAGGTGAGGGTCTAGTGTCATTCTTTAGCATATGGATATCCAGTTTTCCCAGCACCATTTATTGAAGAGACTCTCCTTTCCCCAAGAAGTGTTTTTGGTGCCTTTGTCAAAAATCAGTTGACCATAGGTTGGGTGTGGTGGCTCATGCCTGTAATCCTGACACTTTGGGAGGCCGAGGCTGGTGGATCACTTGAGCCCAGAGTTCGAGACCAACCTGGGCAATATGGTGAAACCCCATCTCTTTAAAAAAATCAGTTGACTGTAGATATGTGGATTATTTTCTGGGTTCTGTATTCTGTTCCATTGTTCTATATATCTGTTTTTATGCCAGTACCATGCTGTTTCAGTTACTATAGCTTTGTAGTATATTTTGAAGTGTGGTAGTGTGTCGTCTCCAGCTTTGTTCTTTTTCCTCAGGATTGCTTTGGATATTTGGTGTATTTTTAAATTCCCTACAACTTTTAAATTTTTATACTACATTTCAATAGAATTTATTTGTGTTTGGGCCACATCTAGATGCAATTCTGACCCATATGCCCTGTTTAATAACTCTGGGAGCACTTTTAGGACAGGATAACACTGTGCCTAATAGGGTGCCTGGTGCATAGTAGGTGATCACTAAATTGAATTGCCTTATGATGCTTCTCATTATTCTCTCTTTAAGGAAAAAAAGTGATGTCAAGTATTCTTGTTAATTTTGGTCTGCATGTGGCTTCCAAAGCCTCCAAATGAAGAGCTCATATAGCACTGCATGAAACTCCAGGGATGTTTTTTCAGAATGCTTGTTCAGGCTCACAAAAGCCCTTTATGGGTTCCTCCTCAGGCTCATTATATCATCCTCTAAGCCGTTAAATCAATCTATTTCAATTAGATAATGACTCCCACTTTGAATCTGTGTAAAATCCATCCCCACCTCACTGTGTATCTCCAGCAGCAGATTTCCAATGTCTTGACAGCAGCAGGGCTTTTGTCCTCCCTGTATCCCTGCAGGCACGAGGGGCCAAAGACCAATTTGCTGTAATGAATTTAATATGTTTAGTCTGAGCCATATAATTCCAGGCCAAGCAGAGAGGGCCTCTGTTAGGGTTACTTTCCATTAAGTGAATCAAAGAGGCATGTTAGCAACTGCAGGCTGAATGTGCAAACCCTCTTGATGCCAACTTCATTTTAAGTCCAGCCAGCTTCCAATCACTTTATGGACTGCCTCAAGACCATTTTGGCAGTAGTTTATTGTGCCTCTGGCTCCTAGAAACTACACTAGACCACTCCCAAGCATGTATTGCAACTCTTGGAAGATGAGCTTGTTGATTTCTCATCTAAGAGTTGGCTCTTGTTAGTGACAAGAGATGGTTTTACAAGCAATCAATTTCTTTGGATATCTTGGAAACTTGTTTCTGTGTGTGTGTGAGGCAAAATATACCTGAAAATTTTGTTTTCAAAGGAAGGCAAATACAGAAAAGGGTAAGGATTGCCATAATTTAAGGATTTTAAGAGAGTATCCATTCTAGGCCTATACCTCTAGAAATAGACTTAGACTTCCAGTGCTCAGGACATTCATCTTAAGTGGACATTCCAAGGCCCTTGACAAGGTAGATGCTGAATATCTGTTAGATGCATCCAATCATGAATTTTTTTATTTTGCCAACCTTAGCAGCAGGTACCTGGCTAGGTGTTAGGGAAATCAAAGATGAATTTAAAAAGATACCCGTGTTTAAGGAGCTCACAGTTTGAATCTGGTATAGGAAACACAAACAAGAATGATGTTATGAGGGCTTTCATAAAGATACAGGAACATTGTTATTATCAAAGGAAACTTGGAACCAAGAAAAGTCCATTTAAATTGAATCCATTTAAAGTGGAGACCAACTTTTCTAATTCCAAGTAAATTGGAAAAGGTTTGTTTGAGAATTTGTCTTGAAAAATAAAGCTAAAAATATAAAAATAATTTTTATTTATTAAACTAAATTTAGATTATTATTTAATTTTGTCTATACTGTCATTCCTAGAACAAACAATCAGAATAACATTTTTGGTGGAAAGTAGCGTTACGGCAGGAAGGTAATACATAACAGAGGGTTATTTTGCAAAAATATTTGGAGTTTAATTGGTTTTTCCAAAGACCAGTGTTAACTTTTGATATCCAAATCATTTTATTTCACATTCCTATATTTCATTGTCTATTGATTTTTGTTGTCTTCAATTGCTAATGCAGCTAAACCTCCTGGATTTTCATTCGTCAGTAACTTTCCATGTGATTCCAGCAGTTTTCTAAGAAAAAAACTTTTCTCACTTTTGTAAAATCCTTCATTGTTTGCAAGGTTTGCCATTTCATGTGCAGTTGAAAAGACTTTGGAACCAGAGGAAGGAGGATAGACTCCAGTGTGAAGTTGGGTGGCATGTTTTGGTGGGGATTTATATTGTTGATAAAGAGTTGATTAGTAAACATTTTCATGTTGTGATGACAATTGGTACTTTTCAAATTCTTAGTTATGGGGTTTTTGACAATGAATATTTAGATAATAATAATAATCTGCAATCCACCAAGAGCTCAGGTGGCACAAAAACTCAGATGCCAGAATTTAAAAAAAATTACATTTACTACTAGGTAAGAAGTGGTTGTATTCTCATGACAGATTCAAATAATAAATTCCTATATGAATAATATGACTTATCCATTAACATGATCAATATTAGTTGCAACTAGACTAGTGGTACTAAACTTGTTTGAGATCACAGAAGTTACAGTTCTTTCACTTACAACCAAATATGTCCCTGAGGTTTTCTAATTCTGAAGTCAGTGAGTACTCTTTCACCACACGATTGGCTCCCAAATGTATCCTGGGAGATACTACTTTTATTACTCTATTGAATTACTTTCCCAGAATCTCAATCCTTACAGGATGCTAGAAAGATAGCGCCAAGTGTCTTCTTAAATTATTATTATTATACTTTAAGCTCTAGGGTACATGTGCACAATGTTCAGGTTTGTTACATATATATATACATGTGCCATGTTGGTGTGCTGCACCCATTAACTCATCATTTACATTCGGTATATCTCCTAATGCTATCCCTCCCCTCTCCCCCAACCCCATGACCAGCCATGGTGTGTGATGTTCCCCTTCCTGTGTCCAAGTGTTCTCATTGTTCAATTCCCACCTATGAATGAGAGCATGTGGTGTTTGGTTTTTTGTCCTTGCGATAGTTTGTTGAGAATGATGGTTTCTAGCTTCATCCATGTCCCTACAAAGGACATGAACTCATCCTTTTTTATGGCTGCATAGTATTCCATGGTGTATATGTGCCACATATTCTTAATCCAGTCTATCATTGATGGACATTTGGGTTGGTTCCAAGTCTTTGCTATTGTGAATGGTGCCAAAATAATCATACGTGTGCATGTGTCTTTATAGCAGCATGATTTATAATCCTTTGGGTATATACCCAGTAATGGGATTGCTGGGTCAAATGGTATTTCTAGTTCTAGATCCTTGAGGAATCACCACACTGTCTTCCACAATGGTTGAACTAGTTTACAGCCCACCAACAGTGTAAAAGTGTTCCTATTTCTCCACATCCTCTCCAGCACCTGTTGTTTCCTGACTTTTTAATGATCGCCATTCTAACTGTTGTGAGATAGTATCTCATTGTGGTTTTGATTTGCATTTCTCTGATGGCCAGTGATGATGAGCATTTTTTCATGTATCTGTTGGCTGCGTAAATGTCTTCTTTTGAGAAGTGTCTGTTCATATCCTTTGCCCACTTTTTGATGGGGTTGTTTGATTTTTTCTTGTAAATTTGTTTAAGTTCTTTGTAGATTCTGGATATTAGCCCTTTGTCAGATGGGTAGATTGCAAAAATTTTCTCCCATTCTGTAGGTTGCCTATTTACTCTGATGGTAGTTTCTTTTGCTGTGCAGAAGCTCTTTAGTTTAGTCAGATCCCATTTGTCAATTTTGGCTTCTGTTGCCATTGCTTTTGGTGTTTTAGACATGAAGTCCTTGCCCATGCCTGTGTCCTGAATGGTATTGCCTAGGTTTTCTTCTAGGGTTTTTATGGTTTTAGGTCTAACATTTAAGTCTTTAATCCATCTTGAATTAACTTTTGTATAAGGTGTAAGGAAGGGATCCAGTTTCAGCTTTCTACATATGGCTAGCCAGTTTTCCCAGCACCATTTGTTGAATAAGGAATCCTTTTCCCGTTTCTTGTTTTTGTCAGGTTTGTCAAAGATCAGATGGTTGTAGATGTGTGGTATTATTTCTGAGGGCTCTGTTCTGTTCCATTGGTCTATATCTCTGTTTTGGTACCAGTACCATGCTGTTTTGGTTACTGTAGCCTTGTAGTATAGTTTGAAGTCAGGTAGTGTGATGCCTCCAGCTTTGTTCTTTTGGCTTAGGATTGTTTTGGCAATGCAGGCTCTTTTTTGATTCCATATGACCTTTAAACCACTGCTCGATGAAATAAAAGAGGACACAAACAAATGGAAGAACATTCCATGCTCATGGATAGGAAGAATCAATATGATCAAAATGGCCATACTGCCTAAGGTAATTTATAGATTCAATGCCATCCCCATCAAGTTATCAATGACTTTCTTCACAGAATTCTAAGTGTCTTTTTTTAAACATGCCAACCAAGCATTGTTTTAGTAAAACAATAAAGATGTCTCCTAGAGTGGTAGAATTCTACTGAATCAAGTAGCAAACCATTTGCTAGTTTGTTAAATGGAGTATCTTGTTAAATGGACTACCATGAAGTAGAATATTTTAGGTAGATTATGCACAATTATTTATGGTAGATTATGCACAAATATTTATGCATAATCATAAATATCTCCCTAAAATATTCAAGAGTTTAATCAGTTTTTCCCAGGACCAGTGTTCACTTTTGATATCCAGAGTTTTAGGTAGATTAAGCACAAATATTTATGAGATTTTCATGATACCAAGGTATATTATTCTTAATCTTTCAGAATATTTATTATGCATATGTTATACAAGATATACCCTTTAAGGTCTTGTGGGAAAATAGTTTGAAAAAATAGAGTCAGATCAATAGCCAAAGTGATATTACTGAGGGCAGAAGATTATCCAACTAACAGAAACCAACTATAGTGGTCCCATGCCAGAGTGGGAAGACAACATTAGCTTTAGGGACTGCAGGTTTAGGACTGCCTTTTAGTTTCAAGTGACAAAAATCTAACACAAGCTAGCTTTAACTCAATAATGGGAATTTATAGGCTCATAAAACCAAACTCAGGACAAAGGATAATACTGGCCTCGGGAATGACAATGCTGGTGGCCCTTGATGCTCTCAAGGCTCCCTCTCTCCATTTCTGTCTGGCATCTGCTTTTCGTCTGTGCTGACTTCACTCTCTTACCTCTGCATCATCTTTGGCACGTGATGGGCAACAGGAATCCCTCAAGTCAACCCAACAACTCTGCCACCAGGAGAGTAAAGAAGTTCTGTCCCATTAATCTTAGGTGGAAAAATTTCAGGGCAGATCTTAGTTAGGGTCAGTTGCAACTGACCATCACTGACCATCAATTGTCATCCTGGCTTCCACGTCTGAGAACAGGAGGATACACTAACTGGGCTAGCCCTGGTCTTCTGAACTCTCATGAGGCCAAAGGGATAGATTATGTTACCAGAGAAATGCACAGAAGCTGGGCAGAAATAGACAAAAGCCACTGCAAGGATAAAATCCTTACCTTCTATCACTTTTTGTCTCTCGTCTCTTAGTTGTATGGTTTTACATGTTGCATATGGATTCTCATATAGGCCAGTTAAACTTAGGTTAATCTGACTTGGACTTGAGTTACATTTTCATTAGTTTAGGACCAGATTGTGAAACAGAGTTTATGTGGGAAGTAATTTACAGATGGCCTGACATTGGTTTTGTGAGCCTGTTTACTGTGTCTAAACCTGAGAAATAGCATGGGTGTTTTTCCTCCTTTAATTTAATTTTAGCTGTGATTTGATACATTAGGTGTGTCAAGAAACACATTGAAAGTCTCAGTTCAAAATAAATTTGTTTCTAAGAATGTCCCATTTTCTCTCAAAATGCTATGAGAAAAATTCAATAAAACCTCTTTCATATCCTTAAATGAAGAGACCAATAGTAATTTAAATGGATTTTAATCGTATTTATGGTTTTTAATGTTTATGCTGTAAGTATATTTATTAATATACATATGGGTTAAATTTCTTTATGGCCTTGAAACTAGTTTTAAAAGTCATTAAATACACCAAAAATTATTTAGCTGGTAAAATTTTCCCTTGGCTTTGTTTAAAGAATCAGTCTACCCTCAGATAAATAAATATATATTGAGCATTCAATAGTCCTGAACTCTGAACTAGGAGCAGTAGCAGACAAAGCAAAAGGCTTCAACGAGTTTACTATGTAGTTAAGGAGACAGGTCAAAGGCTTGAAATAAGAGAGAAATATGCATGGCCTTGTATCACATGTACATAAGCCAGCAATAAGATGAAAGGCATTCAAGAGCATGATCAGCTGCACAGGCTTCAAGGCACTAGTTAGGCAGGGAGAACATTGCAATCAAATAATAATGACATTACTTTTCAGTCATTCTCACATTCCTGCTGACTTATGCCAGCTTAAATCCCCATTTGTGTTTGTAGCACACATATTTATACTAAGGTGGTGCAAGGTGATGTGACAAACAAACCCTAAATTATATAATGGCTTAGACATAATAAAGCTTAATATGGGTGTTCATGATTGCCACTTAGTGACTCAGAAACTCAGGCTTCTTCTGCCTTATGGCTCTGCCATCTTCAAAACAGCTTCCAAAAGGATGCTTTGCTCATCGGAGCCAATCCAGAGGAAGGAGGGAACACCAGGAAAGAGCATCCATTGCAGGTTTTTATGAGCCAAGCCTGGAAGTGGCACATATTCCTTCTGTTCACATTCTGATGAGTAGAAGTCAGGTCCATGGCTTTGTCTAACTGGCTAAGAAATGTCACCTAGGTGTGGGCCAAGGATGAAGAGACAGGTTAGGTGAATAGTTAGCCATAACATCCGTGAACATCAAATTCAAGAAACAAAAAGAGAGGGGGGACAAAGTACTACTTGACATGTGTTTGTTGATGACTCACCCACCATCATTTAATAAACTTGTACTCTGAATCTTATTAATTTTGTAATCTGAATCTTATTAATTTTGTAATCTGAATCTTCTTAATTTCTCCACTGCCAGACAGTGATTTGTGGAATGGGTTCAAAGACAGATGAACATTATTTAGATATGCTCCGCTTGTACACATGTACATATGCACAGCTAGGGAAGCATGACAGTAAAGCCTCATCACACCCTCATGCAGAAGCCTGTGTGGTATAAGATTGTGTGTTTGTGTGTATATGAGTTAAGTGGATGGGTGCATGCGTATCTCCACAAATAATACACATATATATGAAACCTTGCTATTATGAATGTTTCTCAAATTAAGTGGATACAAATTTTAATATTCCCAGTGGAAACATAAATAATAACTTTTCAAAACTTGTTCTTTCATTTACACAAGGTAATTTTAGCATTTTGGTTGAATGGAAATACCCTGTTTTGGAGATGCTGGTTATTATGGGTTAAATTGTGTTCCTCATGATGATATCTTAAAATCTTAACCCCTTATACCTGTGAATGTGACCTTATTTGGAGATAGGGTCTTTGTAGATATAATTGGGTTAATATGAGGTCATACTGGATTACGGCGAGGACTAACCCAATGACTAGTGTCTTTAGACATTAGACTTAGAGGATGTTTGGACTCAGGGAAACACAGAGCACTCACTTTGTGAATCCTCCTCACAAAGCAGAGGACACCAGGAGAAGATGAAAGCAGTCATTGGAGTGATGTGTCCCCTAGCCAAAGAACATCAAGGGTTACCAGCGACCACCAGAACCTAGAAGAGAGCATGGAAAAGATTCTCCCTCAGAACTTCCATAAGAGACCAACCCTGTCAACACTGAATTTCAGACTTCTAGCTTCCAGAATTGTGAGGGAATAAATTTCTGCTGTTGTAAGCCATTTACTTTGTGGTAATGTGCTATGGCAGCCCAGGAAACTAATGTATATGTTATACATTTATTTATAGTATGGTTGTTTTCCTCTTATAAGTGTTCAACTTACACATTTTCATGGATATAAAGAAAGGTATGAACACCATTAGCACTGTGACTATTCCCACTGCCAAAAAATAAGGCTAATAGTTGCCTTTATAAAATCACTCTGGGTGGCTGGCAAGATGGCGGAATAGGAACAGCTCCAGTCTGCAGCTCCCAGTGAGATCAACGCAGAAGTTGGGTGATTTCTGCATTTCCAACTGAGGTACACAGCTCATCTCATTGGGACTGGTTATTCAGTGGGTGCAGCCCATGGAGAGCAAGCTGAAGCAGGGTGGGGTGTTGCCTCACCTGGGAAATGCAAGGGGTAGGGGATTTCCCTTTCCTAGCCAAGGGAAGCCATGAGGGAGTGTGCCATGAGGAATGGTGCATTCTGGGCCCAGATACTACTTTTCCCATGGTCTTTGTAACCAACAGACCAGGAGATTCCTTAAGGTGTCTACACCACCAGGGCCCTGGGTTTCAAGCACCAAACTGGACGGCCATTTGAGCAGACACCGAGCTAGCTGCAGGAGTTGTTTTTCATACCCCAGTGGCACCTGGAATACCAGCGAGACAGAACTGTTCACTCCCCTGGAAAGGGGGCTGAAGCCAGGGAGCCAAGTGGTCTAGCTTAGCAGATCCCACACCCATGGAGCCCAGCAAGATAAGATCCACAGGATTGAAATTCTCGCTGCCAGCACAGCAGTCTGAAGTCAACCTGGGATGCTTGAGGTTGGTGGGGGGAAGGGCATCTGCCATTACTGAGGCTTCAGTAGGTGGTTTTCCCCTCACAGTGTAAACAAAGTCGCCTGGAAGTTCAAACTGGGGGTAGCCCATGGCAGTTTGGCAAAGCCACTGTAGCCAGACTGCCTCTTTAGATTCCTCCTCTCTGGGCAGGGCATCTTGGAAAAAAAGGCAGCAGCCCCAGTCAGGAGCTTATAGATAAAACTCTCATCTACCTGGGAAAGAGCACCTGGGGGAAGGGGTGGCTGTGGGCACAGCTTCAGCAGACTTAAACGTTCGTGCTGCTGGCTCTGAAGAGAGCAGGGGATCTCCCAGCACAGTGCCTGAGCTGTGCTAAGGGACAGACTGCCTCCTCAAGTGGGTCCCTGACCCCCGTGCCTCCTGACTGGGAGACACCTCCCAGCAGGGGTCGACAGACACCTCATACAGGAGGGCTCTGGCTGGCATCTGGCAGGTGCCCCTCCTGGATGAAGCTTCCAAAGGAAGGAATAGGCAGCAATCTTTGCTGTTCTACAGCCTCCACTGGTGATACCCAGGCAAACAGGGCCGGAAGTGGACCTCCAGCAAACTACAGCAGACCTGCAGCAGAGAGGCCTATTAGAAGGAAAACCAACAAATAGAATGGAATAGCATCAACATCAACAAAAAGGACGTCCATGCAGAAACCCATCCGAAGGTCACCAGCATCAAAGACCAAAGGTAGATAAATCCAAGAAGATGAGGAAAAACCAGCACAAAAAGGTTGAAAAAATCCAAAAATCAGAATACCTCTTCTCCTCCAAAAGATCCCAACTCCTCACCAGCAAGGGAACAAAACTGGACAGAGAATGAGTTTGGTGAATTGACAGAAGTGGACTTCAAAAGGTGGGTAATAACAAACTCCTCTACGCTAAAGGAGCATGTTCTAACACAATGCAAGGAAGCTAAGAATCTTGAAAAAAGGGTTGAGGAATTGATAACTAGAATAACCAGTTTAGATAAGAACATAAATGACGTGATGGAGCTGAAAAACATAGCATGAGAACTTTGTGAGGCATATACAAGTATCAACAGCTGAATCGATCAATCAGAAGAAAGGATATCAGAGACTGAAGATCAACTTAATGAAATAAAGCGTGAAGACAAGATTAGAGAAGAAAGAATGAAAAGGAATGAACAAAGCCTCCAAGAAATATGAGACTATGTGAAAAGACCAAACCTACGTTTGATTGGTGTACCTGAAAGTGACAGGGAGAATGGAACCAATTTGGAAAACATTCTTCAGGATATTATCAAGGAGAACTTCCCCAGCCTAGCAAGACAGGCCAACATTCAAATTCAGGAAATACAGAGAACACTACAAAGATACTTCTTGAGAAGAACAACCCCAAGACACATAATCATCAGATTCACCAAGGTTGAAATGAAGGAAAAAATGTTAAGTGCGGCCAGAGAGAAAGGTCAGGTTACCCACAAAGGGATGCCCATCAGACTACCAGGGGATCTCTCTGCAGAAACCCTACAAGCCAGAAGACAGCAGGGGCCAATATTCAACATTCTTAAAGAGGAGAATTTTCAACCCAGAATTTCATATCCAGCCAAACTAAGCTTCATAAGTGAAGGAGAAATAAAATCCTTTACAGACAAGCAAATGCTGAGAGATTTTTGTCACCACCAGGCCTGCCTTACAAGAGCTCCTGAAGGAAGCACTAAATATGGAAAAGAAAAACAGGTACCAGACACTGCAAAAACATACCAAATTGTAAAGACCATCGACACTATGAAGAAACTGCATCAACTAACAGGCAAAATAACCAGCTAACATCATAATGACAGGATCAAATTCACACATAGCAATATTAACCTTAAATATAAATGGGCTAAATGCCCCAATTAAAAGACACAGACTGGCAAATTGGATAAAGTGTCAAGATCCGTCAGTGTGCTGTATTCAGGAGACCCATCTCACATGCAAAGACATACATAGGCTCAAAATAAAGGGATAGAGGAACATTTACCAAGCAAATGGAAAGCAAAAAAAAAAAAAAAAGCAGGGGTTGCAATCCTTGTCTCTGATAAAACAGACTTTAAACCAACAAAGATTAAAAAAAAGAAAGCAAACAAAGAAGGGCATTACATAATGGTAAAGGGATCAATGCAACAAGAAGAGCTATCCTAAATATATATGCACCCAATATAGGAGCACCCAGATTCATAAAGCAAGTTCTTAGACATCTACAAAGAGACTTAGACTCCCACACAATAATAATGGGAGACTTTAACACCTCACTGTCAATATTAGATCAATGAGACAGAAAATTAATAAGGATATTTAGGACTTGAACTCAGCTGTGGACCAAGTGGACCTAATAGACATCTACAGAACTCTCCACCCCAAATCAACAGAGTATACATTTTTCTCAGCACCACATCACACTTATTCCAAAATTGACCACATAATTGGAAGTAAAACACTCCTCAGCAATGCAAAAGAACAGAAATCATAACGGTCTCTCAGACCACAATGCAATCAAATTAGAACTCAGGATTAAGAAACTCACTCAAAACCTCACAACTACATGGAAACTGAACAACCTGCTCCTGAATGACTGCTGGGTAAATAACAAAATTAAGGCACAAATACATAAGTTCTTTGAAACCAATGAGAACAAAGTTACAATGTACCAAAATTTCTGTGACACTGCTAAAGCCGTGTTTAGAGGGAAATTTATAGCACTAAATGCCCACAGAAGAAAGCAGGAAAGATCTAAAATCGACACCCTAATATCACAATAAAAAGAGCTAGAGAAGCAAGAGCAAACAAATTCAAAAGCTAGCCAAAGACAAGAAATAACTGAAATCAGAGCAGAACTGAAGGAAATGGAGACATGAAAACCCCTTCAAAAAATCAATGAATCCAGGAACTGTTTTTTTGAAAAGATTAACAAAATAGACTGCTAGCCAGACTACTAAGAAAAGAGAGAAGAGTCAAATAGACATATAAAAAATGATGAAGGGGATATCACCACTGATCCCAGAGAAATACAAACTACCATCTGAGAATATTACAAATACCTCTATGCAAATAAACTAGAAAGTCTAGAAGAAATGGATAAATTCCTGGACACAAACCCTCCCAAGACTAAACCAGGAAGAAGTCAAATCCCTGAATGGACCAATAACAAGTTCTGAAATTGAGGCAGTAATTAATAGCCTACCAACAAAAAAAGCCCACGACCAGATGGATTCACAGCTGAATTCTACCAGAGGTACAAAGAGGAGCTGGTATTATTCCTTCTGAAACTATTCCAAACAATAGAAAAAGAGAAAATCCTTCCTAACTAATTTTATGAGGCCAGCATCATCCTGATACCAAAACCTGGCATAGACACAACAAAAAAATAAAATTTCAGGCCAATATCCCTGATGAACATTGATGTGAAAATCCTCAATAAAATACTGGAAAACTGAATTCAGCAGCACATCAAAAGGCTTATCCACCATGATCAAGTTGGCTTTATCCCTGGGATGCAAGGCTGGTTCAACATATGCAAATCAATAAACATAATCCATAACATAAACAGAACCAATGACAAAAACCACATGATTATGTCAATAGATGCAGAAAAGGTCTTTGATAAAATTCAACACCACTTTATGCTAAAAACTCTCAATAAACTACGTATTGATGGAACGTATCTCAAAATAATAAGAGCTATTTATGACAAACCCACAGTATCATACTGAATGGGCAAAAGCTGGAAGCATTCCCTTTGACAACCAACACAAGACAAGGATGCCCTCTCTGAGCACTCCTATTCAACATAGTGTTGGAAGTTCTGGCCAGGGCAAGCAGGCAAGAGAAAGAAATAAAGGATATTCAAATAGAAGAGAGGAAGTCAAATTGTCTCTGTTTGCAGGTGACATGATTGTATATTTAGAAAATCCCATCGTCTCACCTTAAAATCTCCTGAAGCTGATAAGCAACTTCAGCAAAGTCTCAGAATATAAAATTCATGTGCAAAAATCACAAGCATTCCTATACACCAATAATAGACAAACAGAGAGCCAAATCATGAGTGAACTCCCATTCACAATTGTGACAAAGAGAATAAAATACCTAGGAATACAACTTACAAAAGATGTGAAGGACCTCTTCAAAAGAGAACTACAAACCACTGCTCAAGGAAAGCAAAGAGGACAAAAACAAATGGAAAAACATTCCATGCTCATGGATAGGAAGAATCAATATCGTGAAAATGGCCATACTGCCCAAAGTAATTTTTAGATTAAATGCTGTCCCCATCAAGCTACCATTGACTTTCTTTACAGAAATAGAAAAAGCTACTTTAAATTTCATATGGAACCAAAAAAGAGCCTGTATAGCCAAGACAATCCTAAGCAAAAAGAACAAAGCTGGAGGCATCATGCTACCTGATTTCAAACTATACTATAAGGCTATAGTAACCAAAACAGCATGGTACTCGTACAAAAACAGATACATAGACCAATGGAACAGAACAGAGGCCTCAGGAATAATGCCATACAGCATGGTGCTGGTACCAAAACAGTTACATAGACCAATGGAACAGAACAGAGGCCTCAGAAATAACGCCACACATCTACGACCATTTGATCTTTGACAAACCTGACACAAACAAGCAATGAAAGGATTACCTATTTAATAAATGGTGTTGGGAAAACTGGCTAGTCATATGCAGAAAACACAAACTGGACCCCTTACACGTTATTCAAAAATTAACTCAAGATAGATTAAAGACTTAAACATGACACCTAAAACCATAAAAATCCTAGAAGAAAACCTAGGCAATACCATTCAGGACATAGGCATGGGCAAAGACTTCATGACTAAACACCGAAAGCAACAACAAAAGCCAAAATTGACAAATGGGATCTGATTAAATGAAAGAACTTCTGCACAGAAAAAGAAACTATCATCAGAGTGAACAGGCAACCCACAGAATGGGAGAAAATTTTTGCAATCTATCCAACTGACAAAGGCCTATTATCCAGAATCTACAAGGAACTTAAACAAATTTACAAGAAAAAAAACAAACAACCCCATCAAAAAGTGGGCGAAGGATATGAACAGACACTTCTCAAAAGAAGACATTTATGCAGCCAACAGACAAAAACGTTCATCAACACTGGTCATTAGAAAAATGCAAATCAAAACCACAACGAGATACCATCTCACACCAGTTAGAATGGCGATCATTAAAAAGTCAGGAAATAACAGATGCTGGATAGGATGTGGAGAAATAGGAACACTTTTACACTGTTGGTGGGAGTGTAAATTAGTTCAACCATTGTGGATGTCAGTGTGGTGATTCCTCGAGGATCTAGAACCAGAAATACCATTTGACCCAGCAATCTCATTACTGGGTATATACCCAAAGGATTATAAATCATTCTACTATGAAGACACATGCACACATATGTGTATTGTGGCACTATTCACAATAGCAAAGACTTGGAACCAACCCAAATGCCCATCAATGATAGACTGGATTAAGAGAATGTGACACATATATACCATAGAATACTATGCAGCCATAAAAAGGATGAGTTCATGTCCTTTGCAGGTACATGGATGAAGCTGGAAACCATCATTCTCAGCAAACTAACAAAGGCACAGAAAATGAGGTGAACAATGAGAACACGTGGACACAAGGAAGGGAACATCACACGGTGGGGCCTGTGGGGGATGGGGAGCTAGGGGAGGGATAACATTAGGAGAATTACCTAATGTAGATGATGGGTTGATGGGTGCAGCAAGCCACCATGGCACTTGTATGCCTACGTAACAAACCTGCACGTTCTGCACATATATCCCAGAACTTAAAGTATAATTAAAAAAAGAGAAAGTTCAAACGAAAAAATATTTAAAAAAATAAAATCACTTTGGTCTTATAAATAATTGACTCTGAGAATACTTTCCACAACCTAGCCAGAGTGCAAGCAAAGGAGCGTCTGTATCATTCAAGTCATTCACATACATTTATCTTACGAGAGACGTACCTAATTGCGTTACATATATAGAAGGAACAGAAAACTATATAGAAAATCAATTCTTCTTTTTCCAATTTATGGAATGTCTTGGAAGGTGGGAATTTCACTTTTCTTACAAATGAGCATTCAAAACCCCCAAACTAGCAATTTGTGTAGACCTATTTTCAAAAAATCAGTCAAGACTTAATGCCTCTGAGCTTCACTTGAGGTGAACTGGATGTTGACCTGCCAGCCAGAGGTCCCTAAGTGTTTCAGGTTGTCCTGTCTCCATGAGACCAATGAATCTGATCCTGATGTCAACAGTGACGGGGCTGTGTCTCAGGCTGGGCCACACTGAGGAGCTGTCCTCACTTTCCAATCACCTAGCCCTGTCCATTGCAGTGGATCAGACACACCACATTTGAGAGTAGGAGGTAGACATTTGTGATGGTTTTGTAAGCAAATGTGCCTTTTCTTCCTTCTTTTTAGAATACATTTGGCACTTCCAGAATAGTTACTATTCGAGGAGCTCCCTACTTTTATTGAGGAACTGATACAGGCAGCTGAAATACTACAAGTAGCATTTTAGATTTTATATTTGGTTATGATTACATTCATGGAAGAACACACTTTTGTATGTTCTTCAATTTCAGAACATGTAAGAAAGTTTACTCAGATACTGTTCAGTTCGACATGATTATTGACAGAAATGCTAGGATAAAAAATATTCACATTAATGATGCCAGGCACAGCATCTGTTTTTCAGGTCACAGCACTTGGTGAAGTAGCATAAACTGCAATTAATTTAAAAGGTTGAATTTCTGATTCCCTGCATAAGCTGACATGCAAATCTTATAGTTTACCTGAGAGCAAGAATGAATGAATTGAGATTGCATCATTTCTCAAGAAGATTGGGTGAAGAATAGGCAAGATTCTTTGTACTGAGCCATAAAGTATTAAGAAAGTAGTAATTGCAAAGATTTCTCTTATCCATTCTTTTAAAGCACAGGGAATACATGAAAACAATTTCCTGTACTTTGTCTTTTGATTTCATGCTTGCTATAGACATGTGTTACATTTTAATGGGGGTGTGGTTAGAAGAGAAAACTGTACTCAATCTATATAGTCAACAAAAGTGTGGTGCGTAAGTTTCTCGCAGAGGTGGAAACAATTACATTATTGACAACATAAATTTGATTTGGGATACTTGACACAATTCTATTATCTATTTCCATGTTGTTTATAATGCTGAGACCCCTTTGCTTCTCAGAAAGGTCCCCTCTAATTCTTTCTCCTGCTGGTTTGTTTTGTTGGTTTAAGTAAGCACCTTTTACAAGGGGATGCTTGGGATTGGGTCATGTATAATGTTTGTGGCAGAAGAAAAGACATTAACAATACACAACAACAACAACAACAAACTAATGGGGTTGGAAGTTTATAAATAGAAATACTAGTTGAACTAAAAATGGAAAATCCAAATAATGAACCTTAATTTTAAAAGTGACAATCTTAGAGTGTGTGTTTCTCAGAGTTCTGAAGACTCCTGTTTTCAATTTACTTTCCTGAAATGATTAATTCATAAAATAGCAAAGGAATAAAATAAAATATAGGCTCAAGGTTTAAAACACTCTCCTAAAGGTGGGGCAAATTTTCTTCTGGAGTGTTGAGTTTTCACTTGGACCCAGCAATATGTAGGAAAATGCCCCAGACTTTGGAAATATTCTTTTATCATGAATTAATATCTTAATTGTTTCTAAAATCCTCTTAACTGGCCTGTCACTTCTACTAATAAAAAATACCACAAAAATGATATAGTCTAGATGAATTATGCCAAAGTATGATTCTAAAAGAGTTTACATCTCAGAACAGTTTGACATGATTATTGACAGAAAGGCTAAGACCAAAATATTCACATTAATGGTGCCAGGCACAGCATCAGTTTTTCAGGTCACGGCACTTGGTGAAGTAACATAAACTGCAATTAATTTAAAAGGTTGAATTTCTAATTCCCTGCATAAGTTGACATAGCTTTATCATCTCATGCTGGTAGAAAGTAACTTTTACCATTTATTTCTATCAGAAGACAGAACTAGGAAGGAAATAGAATAAATGAATTAAAAAAAAGAAAAACAGAAAGAAAGGAAGAAAGAAAAGCCAGAATCCCCAACTGGGAATTTAAAAAATAATTTCTTAGAATTCAAAGCAAATAGTTCAGTCAGCTAATAGAGAACAGTAAAAAATAGGTACTACTGCTTCTGCAAGGCATTTAGTGTCTTCATCTTTTCGGAATGCTGATTGGGGCACTCAAATAAACCTGAATTTTTCCAATTATACAGGGCACAGAAAAACTTTACCTTTACTCAGGAACACATAAGTCACAGAAGGAGGAAACACATAAAGCTGTCACATGTATTTTTATATCCAAAATTAAGTAATGCAGATCAAAATATCCAGTTAGCAAGGTTTGCTTTTTATGCTAAAATTGAGCACTGATAAGAGGTTGGGTGAGATGGTTACTTTTATACATGGTTGTCTGGAAGATGTTGCCAAATAATTTGACAATAGGTGTAAAAGAGCTTAAAAATGTTCATACACTGTTGCCAAGTAGTTCTATTTTTAGAAAGTAGTCAGAGATGTGTTCAAGGATATATGAACGAAGATGTTCATTATGGTTATTTACATCAGGGAAAAAAATAGAAATAAAAGCCCTACCTGTCAGATAAGAGGAGGAAGCCGGCCTGGCGTGGTGGCTCATACCTGTGGTCCCAGCACTCTGGGAGGCCGAGGTGGGCAGATTACCTAATGTTAGGAGTTCAAGACCAGCCTGGTCAACATAGCGAAACCCCACCTCTACTGAAATTACAAAAATTAGCCGGGCGTGGTGGCATGCACCTGTCATCCTAGCTACTTGGGAGGCTGAGGCAGGAGAATTGCTTGAACCTGGGAGGCAGAGTCGAGTGAACCGAGATTGTGCCACCTCACTCCAGCCTGGGCAACAGAGTGAGACTGTCTCAAAAAAAAAAAAAAAAAAAAGAGGAGAATGCCTAAATAAATTGTCATATGTCTGTGTAATAGACTATTCAGCAACCATTAAACAAGTGAGACTCAACTCAGAGCCCTAGGGTTCATGAGTAAAACTTGAATTTGGCTCAGAATGTGCCAGCTCTCATCATCTCAAATATCCTAGAAGAGGGAACAAAGGTTGAGCCTGTGAGTGAGACCTCAAAGAATTGAAACCTGAAGCCCAACTCCAACACAGCTGCCTGTATGGGGAGTCTAAGCTATCAAGGGCATGACAGCAGCAGCGACTTGTCAGAGTCCATTGGGCTGTGAGAAGAGGGGACAGTGTTCAACATGTGAAGATGCAGTAAGAAGACCCTCACTAGATGCCAGAACCTTGATCTTGAACTTCCCAGCCTCGAGAACTGAGAAATTTCTGTTCTTTATAAATTACTTAGCCTCAGGCACTCATATAGCAGCACAAAAACAGACTAAAACACACATACTACACATATTTTGAAGAAATTTATAGAGGTAAAAGTTTATGTTGTCAACTTAAACGTATACTGTTTATGTTGTCTTATACAGTCTGGTTTTTAAATGTCAGTACCTGTATTCTATTGTATTTACTAATCATAACTTACTTTATAAATCTCTCATATAATTAGATTTAGTTTTTCCTAGGATTTTTGTAATTATAAGTAACACTGAAAATGAAAGCACTTAAAAGTGCTGACAGGTCTCAGGCTAGAGAGTGAAGATGAAGGCTTTTAATTACCAAGCCATTGGAAGGGTGCCTACTGGTGCAGGCATGGAAATGCATCTTATATTGATGTGATATATTCACTAATAAACCCAAAAGGCAGAAACCTTTTGTTATGTTTACATTTGAAAATTCACCGGAGGTTACGACAGCGGTTACAATGGTTACAAATGATAAATTCCACTGGTTTTCCACAACGAGAACAAAACCTTTACATAGAATGTGTGCAGGCATGCCTTGTTCTATGCCCAGCAGAGTGACTATTCCACATGGGCTGATTTGGTGTCTCACCACTCTTTCTGCATTCAGCCTGAGGCCAGGCATGCTCCTGGAGAAGTCATACGAGCTAGGGAATGACCATGGGCCTCTTCATTACCTATCTCAGCCCTGCCTCTTGGAGCCTCACTGCTCCGACCTGTAAAAGACAAGTAACAGTAGTTTCCATCATCATTGTTATCTCACATGAATAAACAATATGATAGCATGCCATATATATGCACATCCGCTTAGTGAATTTCATAGGTAATCTTTACCAGTGAAGGAAGGTGAGCTGGGAGGAGGAAGGACAGGAGGTAGTGGCATCGTCCCCCTCAGGGAGTCCCTGCCTCAGCCTGAGCTGTAAGGTAGCTGTGTCCTCGGGGTGTCCCTTCTCCTGCTCCTCAGAGGGTGAGTGCTCCACCCAGAGGAAAGAGACATGCACAGCATCCTTTAATGTAGTCCCTGAATGCAAGCTGCACCATCTTCATTTGGTGCTCAAAGAAATAGATCTGTTCCAGGCTGGAGATTTTCAAGTGCAGTATTGATAATACGGGTGTTGTTTTGCTTTATATGCAGACTTCGAAACCAAAATCCCTTGTCACTCTTCTCAGAAGCAATTCCTTTGTTACCCTCATTGTATGGAGGAGAAAGCTGGCACCCCAGAGACTGGCAATCACCTGAGGCAGCAGGGTCATATCCACTGACTTCCAGGTCAACATCACTTCAAAATGGTGGCATGCACGAAGACCCTTCATTTTTACCTGTGGGTGTCCCAGAAAGTCGTGAAACAGACAATTTCACTGATGTCAAAGGGTCTTCTTCCCCTGGAAGGCCCTAATGAGCAAAGGTGCCCATGAAAACAAAAATTTAATATGGGAGAAACAAAATGTCTGGTAAATCCATGTATGATAAAGGATCATTTGTTCTGAATAGGTTTTTACTTCCATCAACCTTCATCTCACTTGGGGATTTCTTAAGTGTTTCTGGGGGAGGAGAGTGAGAGCTGTCTTGTGGCTTGGCTGAGGGATGACTCTCTGGGTGCCTGCCTGGCCACCAGGACAGTTGGGCCCCAAGAGGACTTAGTTTTCCTTGAGTTTGAGGATTTGAATTATTTTTCATCTATTTCATTGCAAAAGGGTTAATGTCCTTGTGGTTCCTGGCTCATGGCAAAAATTCCTCCATGACTGACAGTTTTATAGATGTTGGTGAATTTGGTCTGGGATAACATCTTACTAGTTTACCAGGTAAACGCTGGCTTTCCTTGTCTAAATGGAAAATTTAGTGCGAAACCGATTTAGTTGCAGGTGAAAATTGACTGTGTGTATCACAGAGGTGGTTTCTCACCACCGAAAACACCATGTCCTGCTTGGGAAAGAAAGCACCGAAAACCAAAACCACCTTTGCTTTTCATAAGCAATTTTCTGCCAAAAGGAAAAGCAGTTTTATTTTTTGTGAACCCACAAAAATGTGATATTCACCAGTGAGGAAATCACATTTGTATAACTGTATTAAAGATGTTTTGCTTATGCAGGCAAATGGAGAGAATTTTACCTGGAACTACTTTGGGGGCAGGAGCAAGAGATAATGCTTTTATATGTTTTAAAAAATAGTCTTCTTGGTCTTGGAAATAGAAATTGCTCTAAAAAGTAGACTTGGAAGCACTTTCTAGTCTCTCTGCAGCTGTTAGTCCATCACTGGCTCAGGTTTAAGTAGAACTTCCACAAACCACACTATGAACTTTTTTTTGGTGAAACATTTTTGACGGATTTAAGCTGTGGCTTAAATCAGTGGCATGAAAGTATGCACATGACAAGATCACATTTCCAAAGAACACAAGATCATTGGATACTTCCTGGGGGAGGTAGGCATGCTCTCCAAGTCGAGTTGCCTGCAGGAAGCAGACCACACTGGCTTCCCAAACTTGTCCTCTTGCTAATTGGTTCTACTGGGCACTCCAGGGCGGTAAACACTGATCTCCAGGGTCCAGATGAGAATGCATGATTTCTGAGGTCCCACCCTTCTGGAACTGATAACCACCCATGGCTCTGCAATGCTGGCCTGTATGCCACAGGGTGTGGCAAATCCAGAACCACAGGCCAGAGGGTCTGTGAGGGAGGGAGTTGCCTACTCTTGCTTTGCTTTAGGAAGGGGCAGGCCTGCCCCCAGCATGTCTCCTCCTTATGCAAGCACAGTCCAATGTCAGGTCTCGGCTCAGTGTTTTCAAAGCAGTCAGAGGCTGTGGCCTTTGTGCCAACAGGGGCCTTCTCAGATTCTGCCTCCTGGAATGGTTCTTAACCTGTCCCTGCTTTTAAATAATTCACATCTCATTCTGTCTATTCTCAGTCCAGAGCTCGTTTACCTAGAGAGCTCTGGACTGAGAATAGATTGAGATGCCTCTCAAAAACTGGTGCATGCTCTTGTTATATTCCTGCTACCCCCTCTGTTTAAAGGCGCCCTGGAGAGTGAAGAGTAGAAGAATGCTAATCACAACCAGGCTTATCACTCAGTTTAAATTGAGTGAATAAAGAAAGGAGAGTTTATGATATACTAACATTTGGATATTAATGATGGTGGGTATCAGCTATAGTTTTCATAAGGAACAAAAAATGCCCTTAAATATCAATATAACAGGTTAATGAGCATTTGATATTAGCATAAATTGCTGAAGAGAGGCTGTGACAGCTCCAACTGAAGGTAGCTTCATAAATTTAGAGCACTGACTGCCTAATAGAGCTCGTTTGAAATGCTACAGTTCTGCTTTAAGGAAGATGATGTGGACAACATATTGTCATCCCTGCCAGCCTTGGTGTTAAAAAGAGAAAAGCCTAAGAGGCAGAAAGATGCTGGAATGTAGTTAGCTTCACCCCCTCCCTCAGTACAGAGCCTGCTGGAGTACTTGAGTTGACCCAGGAGGACTTCCATTGACCACACAAGTGAGCCTGTTCCATTGCCAGACAGACCCAACTGCCCGAACACTGCTTTTTATATTAAATTAAAATCCACTTTGTGCTAACTTTCACCAAGTCCAATCTCTGGAGTCCCACAGCTCCCATCTCATTCTCCTCCTTCATGTGAGCTGCAACAGTCCCCACTTTGTAGTGATGGGTGTTCCGGCTCAGCCATCGACATCCCATGGCAGGTGACGTAAACCATGCAAGCTAGTCAATTTTGAAAACGTAAATTAAGCCTAAAAGTGACTGAATACCAGCAACTTGGGTCTCTACTGCCTGTGTCGGCTACAAGGATATTTATTATAACCCAAATGGCTCCAGATTTTACCAGTCTACATCAATGAATATTGTCACCTCCACATGAATACTAGAATCAGGCTGCTCCAGTCCTCACCTGCTTGTACCTGAGTTTCAATCCCATGAACTGTCCTGTACCCCATTCCATTGCCCAGGTGAGTTAATCTGGAATGCCTATCTGCCTCCGTGAATCAGTTTGGGATTTTCTGTTGCTATGGCCTCAGCGACTTCCCTCAGGCCTCCCTGCACCCATCTCCCTGCTGCTCTGGTCCAAGTTGCTCTGTGTGCTCCCACCTCCACCCCAGCCATTTCTGCTGTTTGTCCTCAACGTGCTGTGCTAGCTTAACTGTTCCTTGCATGATGAGATGTGAAACTCACTCATTAGTGAGGAAGCCTGCGTCATTTTTGGGGTAGTTAACATTAGAAAAACTTTTCTTATGTTTATCTGAAATGCATATTCTTATATTTTCTACAAACATTTGTTCCCTTGTCTTTTGGAGCAGTTTAGACCAAGTTTCTTTGTTTGTAGGGTATGGCGTAGCCTGTGTGTGTAATTTCTCTCTCTCTTGCTCTCACTCTTATCTCTTTCTTTCTTAAGATTCCTAGATGGCAGAATGTGTATCTTGATGACTGGCCTATAATTTTTGTGTAGGAGAATGCCACATTTAAACAGAAGCTTCAGCTAGGCATAGTGGCTCATGTCTATAATCTCAGCACACTGGGAGGCCGAGGTGGCAGGTCAATTGAGACCAGAAGTTTGAGACCAGCCTGGGCAACATAGTACCTAGTCTTCACACATACACAAAAAATTAGCTGGGCATGATGACATGCACCTGTAGTTCCAGCTACTCGAGAGGCTGAGGTGATTGCTTGATCCTGCAAGGTGGAGGCTGTAGTGAGCAGAAATCACACTACTCCACTCCAGCCTGGGTGACAGAGTGAGATCCTGTCTCAAATAATAATAATAATAATAATAAGAGGAAGAAGAAGAAGAAGAAGAAGAAGAAAAGTAAAAAACAGAAAAAAAAACCCAGAAACTTTTTATATGCTCTAGATGATTATAAAAATTGTATAGCCAGGGTGGACTGCAGGTGACTGCCTTCCTAGTGTGATATAGACAGTCCCACAAATTTCTTCCCCTCTGTAAAATACCTCCTTTATTAGTGTGCCTGTCTATCTGCAATTCCAAGGGTTCCATCACTATATCCATGTCCTGGGGCCTTTCAGATGAACATCTGTTTCCGTGGCACAAACACACTGACACAAATCAAAACATTGCTCTAACTGGATTCTAGGAGGAGCTACCTCTACTACTTATACCTAAGTGATGAGAAGAGGGATCTGAACAGTTTCAGTGAAAGGATCCTGGTCAAAGAACAGATCCTCTTAAGGTGCCTTAGGGGGTGTCTGTTGCAAATTAGGGTGGTGGGTTCCAAAGAAACTGCCAGGCACGTTTAGACTTGCAGCCTTGCATTAGCCCGTTTTTAGCTTCTGTGAACTTGATGCTTTAACCTGCTCTACGTGCATACGCTAGGCACACCCTGTTCTGGACAACCTCATAATACCCTTGAGTCGCCCTGCGTTTCTGCCTCCCTTGTCACCTCCCCACACCCTTTGGTAGGAGTCCTCCTCCTCCTGTCTCTGAGATCTTTTCTTAAGGATTACCTTAGCATGCCTGCTGGACTCTCTTTGGAGGAGGACACGGTGTCTCTACCAAACCTTCCCATTGCCCCTATTGCACTTCCTCTTTTTTGTCCTTCCTAAGGCCCCTCCCTGGCCCTTCTCAATCTCAGACCCCATGTAGTCAGTCTCATTTATTCTCCTAGTAATTGTCCTCATCACTAGCCTTTCCTCCTCACAGAGTGGTCTTCATCAAAATGTAGACTGTATTTTATTTTATTTATTTATTTATTTTTAAGGTGGAGTCTTGCTTTCTAGCCCAGACTGGAATGCAGTGATGCGATCTCGGCTCACCACAACCTCCGCCTCTCAGGTTCAAGCAATTCCCCTTCCTCAGCCTCCCGAGTAGCTGGGATTACAGGGACTCACCACCACGCCCTGCTAATTTTTTGTATTTTTAGTAGAGACGGGGTTTCACCATGTCGCTCAGGCTGTTCTCGAACTCCTGACCTCAAATAATCTGCCCGCCTCAGCCTCTCAAAGTGCCAGGATTACAGGCATGAGCCACCACGCCCGGCCAATACTGTATTTTAATAGGTTTCATTATTATTTAGGGATGGCATGACCAATGGTCTTAGGCCACTCCAGCTGCTGTAATAAAAATAGCATAGACTGGGTAGCTTAACATTTATTTCTCACAGTCCTGGAAGCTGGGAATCTAAGATGAAGTTACCAGCAAATTTGGTATGTGGTGAAGGCCTGCTTTATGATTCACAGATGACTGTTTTCTCACTGTGTCTTCATGAGTCAGAAGGAGTGAGAAATCTCTCTGGAGTCTCTTTTGTAAAGGACACTAACCCCATTCATGAGGTCTCTACCCTCATGACTTAATCACCTCCTAAAGGTCCCACCTCCTAAGACCATCACACTGGGGGTCTAGATTTCAACATATAAATTTGGGGGGAACAAAAGCATTTAGAGCACCAGAGGACCAACAGATCAAGAGATGACAGCCATTGGAAGGCAGTCTGCTATACTCCCAGATCCCGGGAAAGGGAGGGCACATCATGCCACAGGCCACACAGGGAGGCACTGGGAGGAGGCTGGAGGCAGAGAAGGGATGCTGTGGGTGAGATTCTCTACTGTGGCTCCTGCAGGAAGGAACAGGCGTGCAGGAGAAGCAGGTGTAGGACTGGCTGGTTTGAATGATTTCAGTGACTCTGGGGCACAGGGGCTATCTCTAGTTGTCTAGTTCTTGACCCAGAGGTGTTTTGGGCAGGTGGACAGGGGCCCAGAGTGTGAGAGCCTGGTAGAGAAGGTGCTTAGGGGTGTGAGCTGTGGATTGGTTGGTTTTGTGCATTTGAAAAAAACTGTGCATTTGAAAAATGTGCCCTAGGAGGAGGAACACGGTCTTCTTTACATTTTGATGAAGACCACTCTGTGAGGAGGAAAGGCTAGTGATGAGGACAATTACTAGGAGAATAAATGAGACTGACTACATGGGGGCTGGGATTGAGAAGGGCCAAGGAGGAGCCTTAGGAGGGACAAAAAAGAGGAAGTGCAATAGAGGCAATGGTAAGGTTTGGTAGAGACACCATGTCCTCCTCCAAAGAGAGTCCCATAGGCACGCTAAGGTATATGTAAGAAAAGATCTCAGAGACAGGCAAGAATAAAAGCTGCCTATGCAAAAGATATACATCGAGGAAAATTAGAGAGAAAGAGCCCATCAGGAAGAAATCCATTCCCTCAGTGCAAGGATTCCAGTGCTGTAGGGGAAATTACTCTAGCAAACATGCCTGCCCTGCATTTCCAGGAAGTTCCCCAAGGTGAAGGCTCAGGCTTGTTTCTGTTTTCTTTTCTAAGGTTTTGGAACGGCTCTGTCTAGACAGATCACACAGAGCACCTGCTGTCGTACGTTCTATGTGAGGTGACTCTGGCAGGAAAGGCCCTGGTCTCCCATGTCCCTGTGTCCCTGGACCCCAGCCCAGGGGTGGCGGTGGGGCTATCTGTTCTGAATGGGCATGTCTGGGGTTTGCCAGGTCTCAACCCTAATGGGCCATGTTGTGTCTCTTACTTACTCTTAGCATGGGGCTTTCTAGATCCTGTCTCCTTCATTGGTGAGCAAAGCCTCCATGTTGGCTGACAAATCTCAGGGGGCTCATTAAGAGCTTTTGGGGTACTCTTCAATGAGCATTCCCCATCCCCACTCTGTTCAGCTCCACTCCATCTATTTTGCCTTCTGTTTATAGCAGGGGCCCCAGTTTAAACCTAAGCTTTGAGCAGCAGGATCTGACATGGATGGTGGGTTAATTAATTTGCATGAGTCCATTCAGCTAAAGAATTTACTCTTTGACTCAATTTCTCCTCCAGCTGTGCTCCTGCTCCATCTCAGAAAATGATACCAACCTTCACTCAGGTCATCAGATCATCCCTGCCTTCTTTCTTTCTCACATCCAATTCATCAGGAAGTCTAGTCAGCTCGGCATTCAAAGGATCCCTCAATTCACCCATGAATCACCTCCTTCACTGTTGTTACCCTTGGCCAAACAGCCACCCTGTCTTGTCTAGAACACTGTCTGTCTCTCTGCTTCCACTCTCTTTTTAGTAACAGGGTCTCACTCTGCTACCCAGGCTGGAGTGCACTGGCAAACTAACTACAACCTTGACCTCCCAGGCTCAAGTGATTCTCCCACCTCAGCCTTCCAACTATTTCTACTCTGCAGGTCATTATTTTAATTAACACAGAAGCCAGAGTGACCTTGTACAATTTGAAATCAGATTATGTAAAACTGCAACTCGAAACCCTCTGTCTTACCAACATACTTGAGATAAAATTCAAACCCTTCAAACTGCCTGGCCTCTGTCCATCTCTCCACTTGCCTTCCTACCACTATCTTCACACCCCTCTGAAATGGGAGAGTTCCCTGACCCCCTCGCAGGATGTGTGACAGGGGTGTGGCTTGTCTGTTTGGGTGGCTGCTGCACTGTGTGCTGAACCCCTTACAGGAAGGGGAACACACAGACAGGCAGGAGCAGGAGCCAGGGCGAGTGCTTTTGGGCTCTGGCCTCATGGTAGTGTCTACAGGTTGGTGCCTGTGACTCTTGAAGCCTGAGTGGGTGTACTACAGTGCTCTTTCAACTCTGCCGTCTGCAGACAACTTAAGTGTTAACCAGCTCATTGCCTGGTTGGTACTTGGGTTTTTGTTTAGTGTCCAGAAAGAATCAGGTCACACACAGACTCGAAAGATTGTGAATGTGGGGATTTTATTGCCAGATGGAGGTGGCTCTCAGCAGGATGGGTGGGGAGCTAGAAAGGGGATGGGGTGGAAAGATGATCTTCCCCTGGAGTTTGGCTGTCCCATGGCTGATGTCCTCTCCAACCATCCCCAGCTGAACTCTTCTCAACGTTCAGATGCTCCTTCTCTTCTCTCCTTCTTTGCAGTGCCACTCTCCTGTTCCTCTGCTCTTATGTTCGTCTGCTCATCTGCTTATGGAGCCTGGGGTTTGAGGTTTATATGGGTACAGAATAGGGGGTTGTGCTGTGCCAAAAGGCAACATTTGGGCTCAAAAACAGGAATACCTATTCCCATTTAGGGCCACAGGTTTCTAGGCTTGGGGATGGGGGCTTTGCTGGGGAACTGCCCTCTTCTACCTAGTATTTCCCTGTCCATATCACCTCCACTCCAGCCACACTGGCCTTGCTGCTTCTCTAAAAGGTCACGTTCACTGCCATCTTGGGTCCTTTGCACTTGCTTTCTTGTTTGGAAAGTTCTTCTTTTAGATCTTCACTCAGATGTCTTTTAAGACATTACCCCTCAGACAGGTCTTCCCTTATGATGTGGGTTCACATAGAACCTTCTTCCCTGGTCATTCCCTTGCTTTGTTCTTTCCACATAAAATGCATGCATGTGTTAATAGGTTGCTGTTTCTCCTCTTACCAGAGTGTACATGCTGCAAGGTCAAGATTTGTCTGCATTGCTCATTGCTATATCCTAGAGTTTTGAACTGCATCAGTCAGCATCCCAGCAATGTTCAACTCTTGCTCTAGGTTCTTCCTGGCAAATCCGTAAGTTGCCAAAGTTGTGTTAAAATTCATTCAGGGGCAGAGATTGAAATCTCTTAAAAACAGTACAACTGATTATGCTACACAAGAAAAGGGGAAGGAGCTGTGTGAAGTTTAGAGGCACACAAAGGCAGGGACTGAGCTGGCCTCCTCTTCAGGAGTGTTGTAAATGGCTGTGCATGGAGGGAAATGGCTTGGACGGATCAAGGCAGGGGTGGCAGCAGGCAGTCCTAGGGCTGGCTCGCTGGGAGGCAGCCTGGGGTAGGAGATGAAAAGTCTTTCTCAGCAATGCCAGTTTGGACAGAGCTTTGCAGATTCCTGAAGTGTTCCAGCATGGGGCCAGGGAGGGCAGGTCAGGATGGTGGGGTGATGTGAGTTGGGAGATGTTAGAGGGAAACAAGACCAACAGTCTTCCAACAAGTAACAGAAGAATGTGGCAAAGTGAAAACAAAGGAGGCAGCTGCAATCACGTTATGGAATATTTCTATTAATTTGCAAATAAATCAATATTTTAGATTCCAAGAATTCTCAACACTCCTACTCTTTGGTGAGATGGGATGCCCCTAGAGCAGTGTCTCTCCAAGTGTAGTCCTCAGACTTCAGATAGCAAAATCAGCCTCACTTGGGAACTTCTTATAAAAGCAAATTCTCAAGCTCCACCCCAGACTTCTGAATGAGAAACCCTGGAGGAAGGGCCCAGAAATCTGTGTTTCTACAAGCCCACCAGAGGATTCTGGTGCACACTGAAGTTTGGAAACCAGTGCTCCAGAGTAGGCCTTCTCAGACGTTAAGGTACATGGGAATCACCAGGTGATCTTGTTAAATAAAAATACAAATTCTGATCAGTAAGTCTGGGCTGGGGCAGAGATTCTACATTTCTTTCTTTTTTTTTTTTTGAGAGGAAGTCTCACTCTGTCACCCAGGCTGGAGGGTCTGCATTTCTAACAACTGCCCAGATGCCACTGATGCTGCTGGACCACAGAGACCACAAAGTGAGGGTCTGTGATCAGAACAAGACCAAGAGTTCATGACCTGTGTCATGGGCTTTGTGGGAGCTTTTCTACATGGCAGGGAGGGAATAGAGGCTAAGTATAACCTCCTCTAGGAATCCCTTGTGGGGTGATGAGGGCTGGACTGCAGGTCTTGATACTGCTTTCTGGTCTGAGGGCAGGTGGGAGAGGGGCTGAGTTGGTGGTAGTAGAGTTAAGAGCAGCCACATCTGGAAAACATTTGCTAGATCTGGCCTTGTGGGGAAGGACCCTGGAGTACTTCCACTCAAATTCCTTCTGGGGGTTTCCATGCATGCATCAGTTTCATGCTCTAGACTGTGATTTGAAGTTTCTTTCTTTCCTGGGGGGTATAGAGGAAGATGGGAGGAGGCAAACAAAAACAAAAATCAAAACGTTTGGAGGGAAATTGGCTTGAGAATCTCACAAAAGATGTTTGTTATATTTAATTGGAAAGGAAAGGGTTTAAGGTGGAAATAGGTGGCCAGAGTCAGATTATTTTTATTTCTGATCTAATTAGTTGCTTAATGTAGTACTAAACATGAACAAGCCTTAGTAAAGCAAAATGGAAAGACTTCTAGGCAAGACTGAAATCCACATTGCATTTTCTTTTGACCAGGAGATTTTCTTTGCAGTTGAATAGGAAAGCAAATTAGACTGGATGGTCTGGTATTAACCCCAATTTGGATGGACAAGAGACTCCTTGAACTTCAGTGCATAACCAAAGAATGAACTTGAAGTAGCTGAGGATATCTGACTCCCTCTGTAACTGCAGAAAGAGAATTGCTGTGTAAATGGGTTTATGATCATATGGCAGAGAGAATGTTCATTCAGTGTTTAGTGCTATGTTTGAAAACAAGAAAGTTTTTTTGCTTTCTCCATTCTGGTGAAAGTTAAGTATGTGCTTTCTTCTTTAAATGAAAAGCAAAGGCAAGAGTGTTGCTCTTTTACCTTCAATTTTTATGACACTGGAATCTCTCAGACTCCTGAATTATACAAGTCTAGAAGGAACACAGGTTATTCTTTAGGCTAACTTAATACAAATTAATAAGAGTTGCTTAAATTTATGTCATGTATGTCAGTCTTATGGGACCTTTGCCTTTAAAGTACTACAATTATTGTTCAATAAAACAATATTAAGGGGTCTGACTTCAGCTAGGAGAGTTCTCAAAACATCTAAGTGGAGAGCTACAATTCCTGGAATAAGATGACCTTCCTTTTCTTTGCTTTTGAGTATGTCTCAAAAATTAGATATGACATCATACTTAATGTGAGAGGCTAGATGCTTCCTCGCTAAGATCAGGAGCAAGACAAGAACATCTGCTTTCACCAATTCCATTCAACATTATATCAGATGCCTTAGCTAGGTCATCTGGACAAGAAAAATAAATAAAAAACATCAGATTGGAAAGGAAGAAATAAAACTGTTTCTTTCTTTTTCTTTTTTTTTTTTTGAGATGGAGTTTCACTCTTGTTGCCCAGGCTGGAGTGCAATGGCATAATCTCAGCTCACTGCAATCTCCGCCTCCCGGGTTCAAGTGATCCTCCTGCCTCAGCCTCCCGAGTAGCTGGAATTACAGGTGCCCGCCACCACACCTGGCTAAGTTTTGTATTTTTAGTAGCGACAGGGTTTCCCCGCATTAGCCACAATGGTTTCAATCTCCTGACCTCATGATCTGCCTGCCTCGACCTCCCAAAGTGCTGGGATTGCAGGCATGAGACACTGCGCCCAGCCTAAAACTATTTTTATTCACAGATGATATGATCTTGTATATGGTAAATGTTAAGAATTCATGAAATAACTCTTCAAACTAATCAATCAGGTCAGCCAAGTTGCAGGATACAAGATGAGCAATAAAATTAACTGTTTTTCTACACACTGGCAATGAGTAATTTGAAAAGGAAATTGAGAAAACAATTCAATTTAAAATAGCATCAAAATGAATACTATACCCAGGAGTAAATTTATCAAAAGAAGTTCAAGACTTGTACATGAAAAACTTACAAGACACTGTTGAAAGAAATTCAGCATCTGAATACATAGATACCTCATGTTCATGGATTAGAAGACTTAATATTGTTAAGATAGCAATGCTTCCCAAATTAATCTACAGATTCAATGTGTTCCCTATAAAAATCCAAATAGCTTTTTTTTTGGAGAAATAGAAAAGCTGATCATAAAATTCATATGGAAATGTAAGAAACCAAGAAGAGCCAAAACAATTGTGAAGAAGACAACATTGCGGGACTCACACTTCTGACCTTCAACATTTGCTACAAAGCTACAGTAATCAAGACATAGTGCTGGCATAAAGATAGATATAAATATCAATGCAATAGAATTGAGAGTCTAGAAACAAAACACTTACATTTATGGTTGATTGATGTTCAACAGGATGCTAAGACAATTCAACATATAGTAATAGTCTTTTCGACAAATGACATTGGGACAACTATATATCCATATGCAAAAGAATGAAACTGGATTAACTTTATATTGTGAAATTAAATCAAATGGATAAAAGATAAACACTTAAGAGCTAAAAGTGTAAAACTCTTAGAAAAAAGCAGTAGTGAATTTTGATAATCTTGGATTAAGCAGTGATTTCTAAGATTTGGCACCAAAATTGAAAGCAACCAAAGGAGAAACAGCTGAGTTGAATTACATCATAATTAAGCAAATTTTGTAATAAAGTGATAAAATCGAGAAAGTGAAAATACAATATACAGAATGAAAAAGGATTGCAAATTATGTATCTGATAAGGGACCTGTATCTGGAATATATAAAGAAATTTTAAAACTGAATAATAAAAAGAAAGCCCAATTAAAAAGTGGGCAAAGGATTTGCATAAACATTTCTCCAAAGAAGATATTCAGCCAATAAGCACATAAAAATACCCATTATTATTAATAATTAGAGAAATTGAAATTAAAACCATAATGAGACACTACTTGACATACACTAGGTTGACTGTTATAGAAAAGACAGACAAGAACAAATATTCACAAGATGCAGAGAAATTGGAACCCTCATAAATTTGTTGGAGGGAATGTAAAATGGTGCAGCCATTTTGGAAACAGCTTGGCAATGGAGAATTATCATGTGACTGAGCAACTTTACTCCTAGGTTTCTATCTAAGAGAAATGAAAACATCCAACCCCAAAAGACTTGTACATGAAAATTCATAGCATCATATATGAATGTTCGTAACAATGTTTGGTTATTATGAATAATAATATCCAATAATAATTATTATGAATAATAACCAAACATTGGGGACCACCTTAAATTGATAAATGCATAAATAAAATAAAATGTGCTATATCTGTACAATGAGATATTGTCCTGAAATGAAATGAAGTTTTGACACATGGTATGACATAGGTGAAACTTGAAAAGTGAAAAAGGCCAGAAGCCAGCTGCAAAACCCTCACATATTTCATGATTCCAATAATATGAAATGTTTGAAATACACAAATCTGTATCTAGAGGAAGTAGATTAGTGGTGACTCAGGCTGTGGAGGAGAGAGTTGGGGGGAATAAGGGGGGACTGCTAGTGTGATGGCTGTGGCATTTCCTTTGGGGTGATGAAAACATTCTAAACTTAGATTGTGGTAATGGTCACACATATCTGTGAAGATGCTAAAACCATCGAAATGTCCAGTTTAAACAGGTGAATTCCTTGATATGTGAGTTATATCTTAATAAACATATTTAAGAATAAATAGGATTTTAAGTATGGAAATCTAAGTTGTGTGCTACATAATAATTTTCTCTTCCTATTTCTCCTTGTTTGGTTGATATTAAAATGAATGTATGATTATTTTTTCGACCTATAGGTGGCCAATCACATATGGTTAGTTCCCTTTCTTATGCAGAGCTTCATTGTGTGTAGGCAAAGACCAGATCACTACAGAGTGAAGAGGAAAAAGTTATATTCCCTAAACACTGAAAGCCTGATTGCGGTATGTGCCTAGTGCTTGGTGCTCCAAAATAAAAGAGGCTTCCTGTCTTAAAAACTTTTTTTCTTTATTTATTATCTAATGTATTGATTAGGTCTAATCGACAATGAAAACTTGATAATCTAATACAGGATGGTAAATGGAGTTTTACAAATAGTAAATAAGAATAAGAATAAGAAAGTTTTATTCTAAGTCTTATTATAAGAAATAGAATAAGACTCAGCTTTGGAATGTTGTAAAGATGAGGTGTGTCTCATTCCATGGACATGTTTCACTGAAGAGGCAGAGTAATAATAACTCAGTAAAAATCACTGCAAACATTTGTGCTACTCTTTTTCTAGTTTGCATGGCCCCTTGCCTAGCCATTACCATTGCTTTGCTTAATGCTCCCAGCATCCTATGTGAGGTAAATATTGCTACATCCAATGTAAAGAAGAGGCAAGGGTGGTTATGCACCAAGATCCCCTACTTCAAACTCTGGGCCACTACTGGAGGTCAGTGATTCTGTGAGATTTTACATGGAATAATTTTGGAGAATACTTGGAAGACAATTTTTTTAAAAAAGCAAATAGGAAAAACCTTACTGAGGGAGTAAATTCAGGCAGCCCAGCCAATCTCTAGAAAATGGGTAAGACATTCCTCTGTAAATTGTAACACCATCACTGAAGCACCTCACAGTAGAGACAAAGAGCTTCATCGATTTGGACATCTACTTAAAGGCTCATTTTGCTCAATGCGCAGCCTTTGTTAAGTTTGTTATTTTTCTCACCACAGAGAGAAAGCAATAATTGAAATTGCTACTTGGTTTTAAATCTGAATCATAACATAGATTCGGGTGGTATCTGGAAATAATGGGAACTGTAGAAAAGTGTGAAAAGGTTATCACTGAATGATTCTGCCCAGAAATGGATGTGTTAGGCATCAGACTTAACTTGGAGTTTGGGAAAGTAGTTTCAAAAAAGTCAGTAAAAAGTTGGATAATTCCATAGCCAGAGACTCAAAAGGGTAGATGCCCAAGAGGTATGGAAAGTTCTGACAGGCAAAATTCTGACCTTTAAACTTGAAGAGTGAAAAAAGAGAAAAAGACTCGAGAAAGCAGCAGGTTTTCCCAGGGTGCTCTTTGAGAAACTGGGAAAGGACTTAGCCTAAAAGGTGGAAGGAGGGTCCCAAAATTGTGGCTATAAAATCCTGGCATGTTCTCTGATAATAACGCCAGCTAAGCACAGCATCAGAGTGGGCTGAAGTTTTCTAAAAATACCAGAGAAATTTAAAAAGAGACATTTTTAAAAGCGTTGATTGAAAACAAGAAATTATGGCGCTCGTAACAAGGACAATAGAGGTGTAAAGAGACCTCTAAAACAGCACCACTCTTCTCCTGCCCAAGTCCGTATTCTCCACAAAAGGGAAAGAACTTTAAAAGCAACGGGTGCCCAGACCCAGTGGAGATGAGACCACCAGAAACTCAGCACACATAGCTAAGGAGCATTTCGACCCTAACTGAGGTGGATGCATGGAGGAAATGAGAAAAGAAGTAAATAAGCAAATAAATAATACAAAAGTAAGTGTGTTTGTTAACTGGCAATTCAATATGAGGCTACAGCACAATGACGTAACCACATAATGAGTGGGTTTGAAAAACAGTCAAAACTGCGGCTTTGTTAGTAGACTGAGAGTGTTGAAAGTAGAACAGGCAGTCTTACCCTTCAGTGCTGGCTAGACCACATTTAGAGTGTTGTGTTCCATTCTGTGGCCCACACTTCAAGAGGGGACACAAGAAACTGGAGCACATTATTCTTCTTGGAATGGAGAAGGAGTTGAGGGTAGATAGACAAAATGGTGTCGAGTCCCTTCTAATGCTATGATGGAAGAACGCTTGAAAATTCCCTTCCTAGCACTGTGCACCTCCCAAGCCCTAGCAAAGTAACTGCCTTTCCTCCAGGAATGCTCTCTGCTAAAGGGGAGCGACTCAGCTCTTTCATGTGAAGGTAGGAGCAGCATCTGGCCTGGACTCTCCTGGGAGACAGCAATGTAGCAGGTGTGAGAGCGTCAAAGCAAAGCCACCATGACTGTGGTGCTGCTGAGGACCTGAGGCAAGTCCCTTTCTTCTGCACCTCATTTTGCTCAATTGCAAAGTGCGGAGAATATGTAGGGAATTTAGTCCAGTGGTTGACATGTGGAAAACCACCAGAAACACGCATGGAGATGTTTAATTTTGGAAAGAGTCTACCCTGAGCTAGTCCAGCAGCACCAGTCATCCTTCTTCCTACAGTCCTATCTGTACTCCACGCCTTTCAGAAATACCATCCCATTTGGGATAGGCCAATGCATCCCGAAGAAAATGGCGAAAGGACGGATCAAGGGTACCGTCTGCTACTTACTAAGCAATTTCAGATTCCAGTTCTGCATTCACTTTTCTCAAGGTTGGATTCATTCCCCACTGCTACCGAAACAGAGACAATGGAGGTATTCTCCGCTCCTAATCACCCCCTTGGTCTCAATATTGATATTTAATAGGGTCATGTGGGCTGCAGGGGGCTTGGCTCTCAAGTCCTCAGGGTTACCAAGATTCACGGAGGCAGGGCTGGAATTTCGAAACACTCAGTTCTGACCCAAGCGCTAAAATGGCAAGGACCTTCCTGACTACTATTAATAATTGGTCCCTGTGCCCAGCAGAGTCTGACGGCACCCTGGCGCCAGGGCCTGGGGTGGCAGTGCGCCGTGCCAGACCCGGCAGGGCCTGGACCTAGTGGGGTCCGGGAAGGGCTGAGCGTGAACCATTCCCGCTTCTGCGCTCGGGCGCCCAGCACACCAACCCGCTCAAAGTAGAAGGGCCTGCTGGGGCTCTCGGACGCCAAAAACATGTTAGAGAGTAGCATTTTAATGAACTGAGTGTAAATGCATTAAAAACACATGGAATTAATGCTCCTTGAAATAAACATAGGCTTAAAAAAACGAGGAAAGCAAATGTTTTGGCAAAACACATTTTGGGTTTTTTGAACCCCAAATATTTGAAAACTATTCATGCAATCTTAATCCAGAGTGCCATTTAGCTCTCCTGTGGTGACGAATAATATGAAAGTAGGAAAATTCAGCGTCTTTCTCTATATTCGTGGGATTTCCACAAAGACACAGACCAACAGGAAGGCTTTCAGGGAACAGTTTAAAAAATACTTAGGAAATGCAGGTTTCGGTGTTTGAAAAGAAATGACAGGAGGTAAACGTGTGTTATTTGATTGATGGAAGGCAAAGGAGTAAACAGCTGACATATTATTAATTTGAACGCTGAGGTGCAGCACTAACCAAACACTGAAACTTAATGCGTATGACTCAAAAAGCCACAATCTTATTTAAAAAGAATAAAAATATGAAAAAACCCTCTCTCAATACATTTTGAAATCCTGTATTTATGTATGGGACTTGACAAGAAAGTAAAACTGAAATAGGAGAGTTCCCTGATCCCCCTTGCAGGACGTGCTCACCTGCCTATAGGACAGGCTCACTTGCCTATCAAACCCCTAGCCGGAGGGGGAGCATGCAGACAGGCAGGTGCAGAGGCAGGGGGAGTGCTTTGGGCTCTGGCCCCGAGGTAGTGTCTAGGGGTGGGTGCTTGCAACCCCAGAGTTACAAAGCTCTTTCAGCTTTGCTATCTACAGATGGCTTGAGTGTTAGCCAGCTCAATGGACCCTCTGCTTTTTTGCAAAGGCAGAAGACCAGTGTGACAGCTTTCTGTATCCTGAGCTCTTGCCCAGCATCCTGGAAAAATTGGGTCACACTCAGGCTTGAAGGGTGAATGTGAGGTTTTATTGAGTGGTGGAGGTGGCTTTCAGTGGAATGGATGGGGAACCGAAAGCGGGGGTTGGAGTGGGATGGTAATCTTCCCCTGGAGTCAGGCCACCCAGTGGCTGGACTCCTCTCTAACCAACCCAGCCAGACTCCTCTCGGCATTCAGACGATCCTCCTCTTCTGTCTTTCTCTGTTGTGTTGTTCCACCATCCCTCTGCTGGTCTGCTGGCTTGATGGTCGGCTTCTGGAGCCTGGGGTTCGGGATGTATATGGGTGCAGCATAGGGGGTGTGGCAGGCCAAAAGGCAACTTTTTGGGCGTGAAAACAGGAATGCCTGTCCTCATTTAAGACCATGGGTCTTCAGGCTTGAAGGTAGGGCCTTTGCTGGGGAACTGGCCTCTTCTACCCAGTATTTTCCTGTTTCCTGTCTGTATCAAAACTACCTGGAAGGCTGAGGGCACTCAGGCCAGGAGCACACCCACCTGCCATATGCCCCACCTGGGCCTGTACCTTGACCACCAGGCCCAAGAAAGATAGACCCCTTCAACCCTCTCCACCACCTGTTTGGAGTGCTCACTGACAACTGACATTCCTAACCCACTCCTAGTGCCAGATCCAGTCCTGGAAATCTGACAGTTTGAGCTTCATCACCCTAAGGTCCTTCAGCTGTCCTCCAGCTGCCCCCTCTATTTCCCCACCTCTCTAGGAACTGATTTCCCAATAGGCACGTGCTCTCAGATGGCTGTTGGCTCAGGTGTTAGCTAATAAGCAAGGTGTTTGCTGACAAGGGCTTAACGCCTCCCAGAGGCATTTGCATTTTAATAGGGATTGTTACAAGAATTCAACCCCCAAAGGAATGAAGTTATGATGGTAAAATGCCAGGAACCCATGTGGATATTTCAGAGCAGGGAGCCCTCTCCTTGGATCCTAACACCTGGTTAGCTAGCCCTGTCTATAGCTCTCTGGAGTGGAACATGAGATCATTTCTCTTCACCCTGCGGGGGCTGGCAATCAGCTCACAAAGTGAGGTAGCCATCTTTAAACAGCAGGATCCAGAGTCCCAGAAATCTTGACTCAGCCAGATGGGATGTCAGAGGAAGCTTCTGAAGAACTGGAGACCAGTTACAGCAAGCCGCTATGGAACATCTCTGGGCCAGATTCGGTGTTATCTTAAAGGTACCAGTTTCTAAGCAGTTGCTGACCTCAGGGAACTCCCTGTTTAGTGGAGGATGGGCCCTCTCAACGAAGATACAGGAGCACAAAGAGGGAGAAGGGGTTTCTGCAGTTGGCTGGGGGAGCTCTCATCTTTCTCCCCGCACAAGCTATTCACCACGCCACTGCTCCGTCTCATCTCTGCTCCTTGCATCTTGCTCCCCGCCACGTTATGCACATTTGGGGCCTTTTTAAAGTTATAAAACTAAGGTAACTTTATTTTAGAAGTTTTCAAATTACAGAAAAGCACAAAGCAGGAGGTAAAAATCCATAATATCACCATCCCTAGGATCACAGGGTTAACTACTATTTTATGTTCTTCTAATCTTTAATCTACACTTGGGGATCTATTTTTTATAAGCTAAAGATCATAAATATATCATTAATACAAATATATTAAATTCTTATAATTTGTAAAAGTCCCATATTGTTAAACACACTTTGAAAATGTATGTTTTTATACATATTCCATATTATGAAAGGTGATGATCCATCTTACAAAGGGTAATAATTAACAAAGAACTTTGTGATATGTTTAGGTTTTAGCAAAATGTCTTTAATTCTTTATTAAATAGTCAAGCTCATGGGGAAGGAAATCGTAAAACTGTAAAAATATTAAACACAGGAGCTTGTATTGAGCAATATATAACATTTTAGGATGATGCATCTCTTAAAGAAGGTTTGATAATGTTGCATTTTCATTGAAATTAACTCATAGAAATGTGAAACATTATCATTTTTCATTCCAGCCATTGTTTTGTAATTTCTATTACCTAAAGTGTAAATTAACCTTGAGGTTAATTTAGGTTAGAGGTCTGTATTGCATAATAGAGAAAAACCAACAAGTCTTATTATTTCTAGGAGAATTTAGTATCTTTTTTCCCTCAAATGTCAGAATCTTAGGGAACAATGAGGGAACATATTTTGCTAGCAAAAAGTGTATTTGCTTTGAGATTTTTTTCCCCTTTGGCTTAACATATCTGGCAACAAGCATCTTACACGAATTTATTTTCTTAAAGGGAAACTCACACTTCTGTAACAAATACATGTTTTTCTTCTGGAAGAGGAGCTTTCTTGCTACTGCCCATAGTATGTATGGGTATAGCCAGCCACTTGTCTAAGACAAAGCTTATTGTACAAACTATATGTTTAGAAAACGTACTTTGACTCTTCATGGTATCTCAGTATCTCAACCATGACTATAAACAAGAATCACCTGGAAAGCCTGTTAAAATGTCCCAGGCCTTACATTCCAACTCATTATTGGGGTGGAGAATAGGAGGCAGGGGTCCTCATTTTTAAGAAGCCACACAGGGGATTCTAATGTCCGAGGGCCACACTTTGAGAAACACTGCCCTGCTGAATAAAAGCCCAACTCCTTAGCATGGGATCCAAGTCCCTCCTTAATCTCATTCCTATCAGGCCCATCTCCCAACACTAGACCCAGCCATTCTTTGTCACACTGATGGCTCATTCTTCCCTAACACAGCATTCTACTCCATGCCTTCATCCCTTTGGTCAAGTAGTGTAGCTGTCTTTTCCTTTCTGGTCTTAAGAACAAGTAATTCTTGTTCTTAAGAATTTTCCTGCTAATTGGTGCATATCATCCTATTGTGTGCCTAGTGGTTTCCTAGTGCTGTTCTAAGCAATATATATGTGTGTGTGTAAATATGTATATTTATATAAAAATAAATTTGCTTATATATAAACTTATAATTTATATAAAATTATATAAATAACCTATAAATCATACATAATTTCCATATAAATGTATAATATATAATTATATTATATAAATATATATTATATATAATTTACATATGAGAATTTATATAATATAATTTATATGTTCATATATATTATGTATAAATGTATATGTTAATATATGTAATTATATACAATTTTAAAATATATAATATAAAACAATATTATATAAAAATTATACTATATACATTATAAATTTATTTATATATCTTTATAAATATTAAGTATTAAAATATTGATAAATTAAAATATTAAACATTAAATATTTATGTAGAAATTTATATATAAATATATATACACATACACATATAAAAATTTATTTCATCCTTCCCACCTCTCTATTAATATATTATCATTCCTATATTGCAGCTTAATAAACTATGGCTGAATTAAATGAGTAAAGAGATGAATGAATATTATGAATATTTGTTCAATGTAAAAACAGCTGGAGTAGTGGAGGGGAACAGACCCCACATCCTAGGCCTGAGACTCGGGGGACATGGGAAATGACTGTTCACATTTCATAGGAATACGAAGATAATGGGTGCTATGGTCTGCATGCGTGTTCCCCAAAATTCATGTGTTGAAATCCTCATCCACAAATTGATGATATTAAGAGATGGGGCCTTTTTGGGACATGATTGGGTCATGGGAGGAGACCCGCCCTAAATGGAATGAGTGTCCTTATAAAAGAAGCAGGAAGTGTTTGTGTCTTCCACCACAAGGACACAGTGACAAGGTGCCATCTGTGAACCAGGAAGTGAGTCCTCACTAGACACTGAGTATGCTGGCATCTTAATCTTGGACTTCTAAGCTTCCAAAACTGTGAATAAATTTCTGTTGTTTATAAGCCATCCTATTTATGGTATTTGTCCAAAAGAACTGTGATAACGGGATGCTGATCATTCAGAATTTGAAAGAAAAGTATTTTAAAAACATCTGTCTCAATTTTTTGTACATATTATGTTGAAATTACAGCATAGCAATGCAAATCTTTTTATAATTTTTCACACCTACTCAAAAATATGCTATGGAGACCTTCATTTATGGGCATAAAATATGCTGCTTCCTAAGGCTGTCCTGCAGGGGAGGCTTTTCTTCTGGCCCTGTACTGCTCTTTAGTCAAGCCTCTCTGTGTGCCTCTCGGTTCCTCAGACACATCATTTTCTCTCTACCTCAGAGCCCTGACACGTGTGGGCCTCCTGCGTAGAGGCTTTCTTCTTGCTTAGTTTCAACTTGTCTTGCAAAGCCCAGATCAGATGGCCCCACCCCTAACATTTTTAGGGCTGGAAGCAAGAATGCAAATGGAAACACATGCTATAGACAGAATTTAGACTTCTCAGATTCCATGCAGTTTCACATGGGAGTGCTGTGGTGTAAGAACAGGGACTCCTGACTTGTGGCCGAAGCCTCATCTTTCTACTTTCCCCATCCTTGGCTCCTTCTCTCATCATGAAAGGAAGAGCTTGTGAATATCCCAGTGTGTACGTCAAAATCCACACATACACACACTGCAAGCAACCTCTCTTGGTCATCACCCTGAAGCCTTGGGGTGTACCTATTTGTCTTAGTTCCCACTGGCATGATAGACCCAGGGAAGAGGCTTGAGGTGCTTTCAGTAATTCAGAGGTACAGGGCACCCCGAGCCTGGTCTAGAATGGAGGTGTGGGCTTCTTTGAAGTGCTGGTTGTGGTGACTCTTGCCTGGGGCCATGGGTGGCACTAAGCTCAAACATCCATTTCTCCAAGTTTAATCTTCCAGATAAACTTTCATACTTCTCTTTGAAGTACTTAATAAGGAGAACTCATTCAAAGTTTAATGAGTTATTGTTCAAACTGGTGGTATAAGGTCTGACTCCATTGCAAAAAAATCATTTCACAAGGGCGGAGCTGAATCTTGTCTTGTTCACTTCTGTTTTTTCTGTTGTCCAAAACAGTGTCTGGCAAACAAATGGTGCTCATCATATATTTGTTGAATGGATTAATGAAAGGCCGCTGAGACTTCTAGAAATAGTTTGGGTCTCTCAAAAATATTTTTAAAACTCTGCTTGGCTTTTTCTTATATATCTGCATTATTATCAACATTAGCAGCTTCACAGACTAAAAGTTTAAATATCACAGAAGATTTTCTAGCACTTTGGATCTAAAGATAAAGTCCTCAGTGGGAACTGCAGGGATAAAGGATTTAGGTAAGATTCCCAGGCACAGGCCCATACAAATATGTGTGGTGTAAATCCTATAACAGAATACCAATATTATATACAGAACTTTTTCTTTGTGGCAAATTACAAAGTTAGCATTAAAAAAATCAAACTGGAGGTGAAAAAAATAACATCTATCCTTCACAGGACTGCGTGCAATTCTACTTGGAGATCTTCATAACACCTTAAGGGAAAAATCCTTTTTGAAAGAAAAACAAGTCTGGGTGGTGCTTGAAAATTCAGAAGGCAGCTAGAAACTCTGCCAATTACAACTGTAAGTAATAACACAGTATTAAATTTTATTTTCCATTTTTAAGACTGGATTTTTTAAAAGCAGCAGGTATGTGGAGTGATATTTCTAACAGATGTTTTGAAAAAAATTAATAGTTTTATTTATCTTGGTTGGTATGAAAACTTTGACCTTCAAGGGTAAGGTTTTGATTCACTGAGAGATGGAATCCTTATGGACAGAGGCCTGAATGCCTCAGTTTTGGGTTTTAGTTATTTTCAAAGTTTTTGTCCTCTTTTTCCACCTTATTGATTAGTGGGCAAAAATTATCATCTAAATTTGAAATTCTGTTCTCACTTAAAGCTTATTCTGTAATTCTGAATAATCTAGAAAAGATAATATTGTCTATATATCGGTCTTCTCGCAAAAAACACTGAGAGATGACAAGGCCACTTCAGCCAGAAGCCACTGTATCTGGCCACAATTACTATCCTTATTTATTGAAAACTGTATTACAAGCCATGGAAATTCAAAGTGCTACAGAAACAAACACTCTTCCTTTAGAACCTGCTCAATTTCCCAGGAGCTTAACAGAACTCTATCTTATATTCTCTCTGGGAAAGATAAAATAGCAAACAACAAAACTCAAGGTCTAAAAATAAAACCAGTTAAATCAACTCACGGTGTAGCAGAACACTGCCACTCATCTGGTCACCTCTATAAGACTCACCTGTTTAACCCTGTAACCCAGAGTTTCTCAGCATTGGCACAGTCAACACTTTGGGTTGGATAACCCTCATTTAACTTCTCTTCTTTAACTCCTACTTTTTGTCATTGTGATAAATATGCGCAACATAGAATTGATCATTTTAACAATTTTTGAGTGACAGTTCAGTGGCTTTAAGTACACTTATATTGTTGTGCAACCATCACCGCCATCTAGCTCCAGAAATTTCTCATCTTCCCCAACTGAAACTCCATGCCGTTAAATAATAACTCCCCCTCATATCCTGCCCCTAGTCCTGGGAACCACTTTTTTTTTTTAAATTCTAAAACTACCCACATCCTTGAGGCAAAAGTAAAGTGTGAAGGTGCATGAGTGTGCTCATATGTGTGTGAGTGTCATGATAATTTCATTAATTTAAAGGGCCAAGGACCAGGTACTTTCCTCCCCACGCATGAGTGTTCTGTGGGGATTAGAAGACCAGGCTGTACTATCAAACTGCCCAGCTTCAATCCTGCCCAAACCCATTGTTGACTAATGTGAGGGATGTTTCAGATCTGCCTGCCTCAGTTTCCTCATCTAAGCAGAGTTGGTTATAGTACTATCATGTAGAATTTGTGTGAGGATTAAGTGAGTTAAACACTAAGTACTAGGACTACCTCACACTCCATCAAGTTCAAATTCTGCACAACAGTGATCTCCAGATCAGTTGCTGATTTTGGCCAAAAGCCTCATGGCAGAACAGTTTGTTGCCATAGACGTAGTAGATATTTAATCCCACTGTCTTCTCCTTGTTACAATGGATATCTAACTTGGAGTGTAATATGTTAGCTACAAGAATCTGGATTTCGTTTTCACACTCTGGGATCAGAAGACATAATCATGAGCAGACTTTGACTGCGACTCAAATGCATGCAGTGTATACAGACGCGATGGCTGCCAACTCAGCCAGGAGACCCGCGTTCTTGAATCAGATGTTTCTGTTGTCCTGCAGGTGCATAAATGCAAACCACAAACTTCACTGAGCTCCCCCTCTTCTCTCTCCATAGTGTGAGCCCCAGGCACATGCTTCCTCCCTATTCTCTACCCTCTAAATGCTGTTTCCCCTTCAACCATGTAATTTAAATAAATTAACATACAGCCTGAGAGATACTAAAAGTTGGTGATTATTATCTAACTTCAGATTTCACATATTTGAATGCTCCTTCCACCACTTGACTGCCTATGTAACCTTAGGAAACATTTTACCCTTAGGTTCTCATCTAAAGAATCGAAAGAATCATGGTTCCTGCCTCACATGATTATTGTGAGAAATAATGAGATAACCAAATATAATACACTTGGCATGCAAATACTACCTTTCTTGTCCATGAGAATACCAAGACTTAGCAGGCACACATCACTCTTATTGCCTAGACAGATGTAAGATGAGTTCAGCAAAAATCAAAGTTTCTCATAATATCTGTCAGCAGTAAATGTATTAGTACTGTGAACCAAATTGAATACTATTCTAGAAAGAAATCGTCTAGAGTAAAAAAGAAATGCTATCAGTAATTGTGTATTATGTGCTAGGAATTGTGTTAGTGATTTCACAAATTTTTTTGTTCAAATTTTCATATGGTCTACTTAAGAGAAGATATTATTATTCCTATTTTTCTTTTTTTATTATACTTTAAGTTTTAGGGTACATGTGCACAACAACATGCAGGTTTGTTACATATGTATATATATGTGCCATGTTGGTGTGCTGCACCCATTAACTTGTCATTTAACATTAGGTATATCTCCTGATGCTATCCCTCCCCACTCCCCCCACCCCACAACAGGCCCCAGTGTGTGATGTTCCTCTTCCTGTGTCCATGTGTTCTCATTGTTCAATTCCCACCTATGAGTGAGAACATGCGGTGTTTGGTTTTTTGTCCTTGCGATAGTTTGCTGAGAATGATGGTTTCCAGCTTCATCCATGTCCCTACAAAGGACATGAACTCATCCTTTTTTATGGCTGCATAGTATTCCATGTTGTATATATGCCACATTTTCTTAATCCAGTCTATCATTGGTGGACATTTGGATTGGTTCCAAGTCTTTGCTATTGTGAATAGTGCCACAATAAACATACATGTGCATGTGTCTTTATAGCAGCATGATTTATAATCCTTTGGGTATAGACCCAGTAATGGGATTGCTGGGTCAAATGGTATTTCTAGTTCTAGATCCCTGAGGAATCACCACACTGACTTCCACAATAGTTGAACTAGTTTACAGTCCCACCAGCAGTGTAAAAGTGTTCCTGTTTCTCCACATCCTCTCCAGCACCTGTTGTTTCCTGACTTTTTAATGATCGCCATTCTAACTGGTGTGAGATGGTATCTCATTGTGGTTTTGATTTGCATTTCTCTGATGGCCAGTGATGATGAGCATTTTTTCATGTGTCTTTTGGCTGCATAAATATCTTCTTTTGAGAAGTGTCTGTTCATATCCCTCGCCTACTTTTTGATGGGGTTGTTTGTTTTTTCTTGTAAATTTGTTGGAGTTCATTGTAGATTCTGGATATTAGCCCTTTGTCAGATGAGTAGATTGCAAAAATTTTCTCCCATTCTGTAGGTTGCCTGTTCACTCTGATGGTAGTTTCTTTTGCTGTGCAGAAGCCCTTTAGTTTAATTAGATCCCATTTGTCAGTTTTGGCTTTTGTTGCCATTGCTTTTGGTGTTTTAGACATGAAGTCCTTGCCCATGCCTATGTCCTGAATGGTATTGCCTAGGTTTTCTTCTAGGGTTTTTATGGTTTTAGGTCCAACATTTAAGTCTTTAATCCATTTGAATTAATTTTTTATAAGGTATAAGGAAGGGATCCAGTTTCAGCTTTCTACATATGGCTAGCCAGTTTTCCCAGCACCATTTATTAAATAGGGAATTGTTTCCCCATTTCTTGTTTTTGTCAGGTTTGTCAAAGATCAGATAGCTGTAGATATGCGGCATTATTTCTGAGGGCTCTGTTCTGTTCCATTGGTCTATATCTCTGTTTTGGTACCAGTACCATGCTGTTTTGGTTACTGTAGCCTTGTAGTATAGTTTGAAGTCAGGTAGCGTGATGCCTCCAGCTTTGTTCTTTTGGCTTAGTATTGACTTGGCGATGCGGGCTCTTTTTTGGTTCCATATGAACTTTAAAGTAGTTTTTTCCAATTCTGTGAAGAAAGTCATTGTTAGCTTGATGGGGATGGCATTGAATATATAAATTACCTTGAACAGTATGGCCATTTTCATGATATTGATTCTTCCTACCCATGAGCATGGAATGTTCTTCCATTTGTTTGTATCCTCTTTTATTTCATTGAGCAGTGGTTTGTAGTTCTCCTTGAAGAGGTCCTTCACATCCCTTGTAAGTTGGATTCCTAGGTATTTTATTCTCTTTGAAGCAATTGTGAATGGGACTTCACTCATGGTTTGGCTGTTTGTCTGTTGTTGGTGTATAAGAATGCTTGTGATTTTTGCACATTGATTTTGTATCCTGAGACTTTGTTGAAGTTGCCTATCAGCTTAAGGAGATTTTGCGCTGAGATGATGGGGTTTTCTAGATATACAATCATGGCATCTGCAAACAGGGACAATTTGACTTCCTCTTTTCCTAATTCAATACCCTTTATTTCTTTCTCCTGCCTGATTTCCCTGGCGAGAACTTCCAACACTATGTTGAATAGGAGTGGTGAGAGAGGGCATCCCTGTCTTGGGCCAGTTTTCAAAGGGAATGCTTCCAGTTTTTGCACATTCAGTATGATATTGGCTGTGGGTTTGTCATAGATAACTCTTATTGTTTTGAGATACGTCCCATCAATACCTAATTTATTGAGAGTTTTTAGCATGAAGGGGTTGTTGAATTTTGTCAAAGGCCTTTTCTGCATCTATTGAGATAGTCATGTGGTTTTTGTCTTTGGTTCTGTTTATATGCTGGATTACGTTTATTGATTTGTGTATGTTGAACCAGCCTTGCATCCCAGGGATGAAGCCCACTTGATCATGGTGGATAAGCTTTTTGATGTGCTGCTGGATTCGGTTTGCCAGTATTTTATTGAGGATTTTTGCATCAGTGTTCATCAGGGATATTGGTCTAAAATTCTCTTTTTTGGTTGTGTCTCTGCCAGGCTTTGGTATCAGGATGATGCTGGCCTCATAAAATGAGTCAGGGAGGATTCCCTCTTTTTCTATTGATTGGAATAGTTTCAGAAGGAATGGTACCAGCTCCTCCTTGTACCTCTGGTAGAATTCGGCTGTGAATCCATCTGGTCCTGGACTTTTTCTGGTTGGTAAGCTATTAATTATTGCCTCAATTTCAGAGCCTGTTATTGGTCTATTCAGAGATTCAACTTCTTCCTGGTTTAGTCTTGGGAGGGTGTATGTGTCGAGGAATTTATCCATTTCTTCTAGTTTTCTAGTTTATTTGTGTAGAGGTGTTTATAGTATTCTCTGATGGTGATTTGTATTTCTGTGGGATCGGTGGTGATATCCCCTTTATCATTTTTTTATTGCTTCTATTTGATTGTTCTCTCTTTTCTTCTTTATTAGTCTTGCTAGCAGTCTATCAATTTTGTTGATCTTTTCAAAAAACCAGCTCCTGGACTCATTGATTTTTTGAAGGTTTTTTTGTGTCTCTATTTCCTTCAGTTCTGCTCTGATCTTAGTTATTTCTTGCCTTCTGCTAGCTTTTGAATGTGTTTGCTTTTGCTTCTCTAGTTCTTTTAATTGTGATGTTAGGGTGTCAATTTTAGATCTTTCCTGCTTTCTCTTGTGGGCATTTAGTGCTATAAATTTCTCTCTACACACTGCTTTGAATGTGTCCCAGAGATTCTGGTTTGTTGTGTCTTTGTTCTCACTGGTTTCAAAGAACATCTTTATTTCTGCCTTGATTTCGTTATGTACCCAGTAGTCATTCAGGAGCAGGTTGTTCCGTTTCCATGTAGTTGAGCGGTTTTGAGTGAGTTTCTTAATCCTGAGTTCTAGTTTGATTGCACTGTGGTCTGAGAGACAGTTTGTTATAATTTATATTCTTTTACATTTGCTGAGGAGTGCTTTACTTCCAACTATGTGGTCAATTTTGTAATAGGTGTGGTGTGGTGCTGAGAAGAATGTATATTCTGTTGATTTGGGGTGGAGAGTTCTGTAGATGTCTATTAGGTCTGCTTGGTGCAGAGCTGAGTTCAATTCCTGGATATCCTTGTTAACCTTCTGTCTCATTGATCTGTCTAATGTTGACAGTGGGGTGTTAAAGTCTCCCATTATTATTGTGTGGGAGTCTAAGTCTCTTTGTAGGTCACTAAGGACTTGCTTTATGAATCTGGGTGCTCCTGTATTGGGTGCATATATATTTAGGATAGTTAGCTCTTCTTGTTGAATGGATCCCTTTACCATTATGTAATGGCCTTCTTTGTCTCTTTTGATCTTTGTTGGTTTAAAGTCTGTTTTATCAGAGACTGGGATTGCGACCCCTGCCTTTTTTGGTTTCCATTTGCTTGGTAGATCTTCCTCCATCCCTTTATTTTGAGCCTATATGTGTCTCTGCACATGAGATGGGTTTCCTGAATACAGCACACTGATGGGTCTTAACTCTTTATCCAATTTGCCAGTCTGTGTCTTTTAATTGGGGCATTTAACCCATTTACATTTAAGGTTAATATTGTTATGTGTGAATTTGATCCTGTCATTATGATGTTAGCTGGTTATTTTGCTCATTAGTTGATGCAGTTTCTTCCTAGCCTCAATGGTCTTTATAATTTGGCATGTTTTTGCAGTGGCTGGTACCGGTTGTTCTTTTCCACGTTTAGAGCTTCCTTCAGGAGCTCTTTTAGGGCAGGCCTGGTGGTGACAAAATCTCTCAGCATTTGCTTGTCTGTAAAGGATTTTATTTCTCCTTCACTTATGAAGCTTACTTTGGCTGGATATGAAATTCTGGGGTGAAAATTCTTTTCTTTAAGAATGTTGAATATTGGCCCCCACTCTATTCTGGCTTGTAGAGTTTCTGCCGAGAGATCCACTGTTAGTCTGATGGGCTTCCCTTTGTGAGTAACCCGACCTTTCTCTCTGGCTGCCCTTAACATTTTTTCCTTCATTTCAACTTTGGTGAATCTGACAAATAAGTGTCTTGGAGTTGCTCTTCTCGAGGAGTATCTTTGTGGCGTTCTCTGTATTTCCTGTATGTGAATGTTGGCCTGCCTTGCTAGATTGGGGAAGTTCTCCTGGATAATATCCTGCAGAGTGTTTTCCAACTTGGTTCCATTCTCCCCGTCACTTTCAGGTACACCAATCAGACATAGATTTGGTCTTTTCACATAGTCCCATATTTCTTGGAGGCTTTGTTTGTTTCTTTTTATTCTTTTTTCTCTAAATTTCTCTTCTTGCTTCCTTTCATTCATTTGATCTTCCATCACTGATACCCTTTCTTCCAGTTGATTGAATCGGCTACTGAGGCTGTGCATTCATCGCATAGTTCTCATGCTGTGGTTTTCAGTTCCATCAGGTCCTTTAAGGATTTCTCTGCATTGGTTATTCTAGTTAGCCATTCGTCTAATTTTTTTCAAGGTTTTTAACTTCTTTGCCATGGGTTCCAACTTCCTCTTTTAGGTCGGAGTAGTTTGATTGTCTGAAGCCTTCTTCTCTCAGCACGTCAAGTCATTCTCTGTCCAGCTTTGTTCTGTTGCTGGTGAGGAGCTGCATGCCTTTGGAGGAGGAGAGGCCCTCTGATTTTTAGAGTTTCCAGTTTTTCTGCTCTGTTTTTTCCCCATCTTTGTGGTTTTATCTACCTTTGGTTTTGATGGTGACGTACAGATGTGGTTTTGGTGTGGATGTCCTTTCTGTTTGTTAGTTTTCCTTCTAACAGTCAGGACCCTCAGCTGCAGGTCTGCTGGAGTTTGCTGGAGGTCCACGCCAGACCCTGTTTGCCTGGGTATCAGCTGCGGAGGCTGCACAACAGTGGATATTGGTGAACAGCAAATGTTGCTGCCTGATTGTTCCTCTGGGAGTTTTGTCTCAGAGGAGTACCCGGCCGTGTGAGGTGTCATTCTGTCCCTACTCGGGGGTGCCTCCCAGTTAGTCTACTCGGGGGTCAGGGACCCACTTGAGGAGGCAGTCCGTCCATTCTCAGATCTCCAGCTGCGTGCTGGGAGAACCACTACTCTCTTCAAACCTCAGTTGGAAATGCAGAAATCACCCATCTTCTGCGTTGCTCATGCTGGGACCTGAAGACTGGAGCTGTTCCTGTTCAGCCATCTTGGCTCTACCCCTATTATCCCTATTTTTCAAATGGGGAGACTTGGGCAGCAGGAGGTTAATGAACATGCCAAAGGTAACAGACCCAGTAAATAGCAGGACAAAATACAGTTTGGTCATATTCTCATCTCCTGTGTAACATTGCCTCCGTGCTAACGTGTTGACTGATGAGACCCTGTAATGCAGTAATGATAAATAATGAAATAATAATTATATTATATTGTATCATATATCATACTATGCAGTGCTACAATACACATAAAATTCCCATGTTATCTTTTAAAGGAAATCTATTTATATGGGTACTTGCAAACTGAAACTAATTTTTATTTCCATATATAACATACATTTAACTATAGTATTTGGTCAAAACTAAAACAAAATATGTTAATGATATTAGCGTTCTTTTCTTGCTTTGAAATTTGGTGATTATAATGCTGCTCTGTGCACAGCTTTTGCTTGATTTCTGCTCACTAGTTCAGGCTTGAAGACCTAATAAATATCTCTATATAGTCATTGTTGAATAGATCTTCACGTTCTGATGAATGAAACTGGTTGAATTTGAAAAATCTACTGTTTGAGATTGGCACATAACCAAATTATAACTTTAGGTGGAAAAAATACCTGATTGCTTGTTACTTTCCAAATTTTTGGCATGTTTTCAATGTTACAAAGCTGTTTCTAAATAAAATTTGTTGGGGGGCAGAAATCTTGAGAACTCCACCATATACAATTTGCATCATTTGCTTTTCTAAATTGTTGTTTCTCGCCAGTGTCAATAAACTGCTGTAAGTGGTTAAGCATGTTTGGTTGGCTGTACTTACGTATAAAATAAACAACGTGGCTAGTATTCTCTTTACAACTGATGACCATGGGTGCTGTGTAACTACTCTATATAACCCTTAATGAGGGAATAATGAAATTTACCTTGCAGAGGTATCAAAAAGCAAACATGTTTTTCTAGTGCCTGGGTCCGTGACTAATTTCCCAATTTCTGTGTGATAATTTTATATATAGGATGTCTTAAATTCCACCCCACATGCCTAACAAGCATTTTAAAACCTGTGCTTGTCTTATCTGGAATGACATTGGAGTGATTAATTTTTTTTAACCTTTTAGAATGGTGTCAGCTGGGATTGAGAAATTAATCAAGGGTAATCAAAGTCTGAAGAAAATTTGAACTGTTGAATTAAGACAAGATGTTTGCACTGAGTGCCAGCAGGAATGGGGTACTATATGTAGTAACTTGTTAAAAAATGTCATGCATTGAGGTATTTACATAAATTTTCATAGGAATATATTAGTTATACTTTTAAATTATACAGTTAAGGCTTGAGAACAACAGGCAATACATTGTGTAACAATTTGTCCGAAGAAACATCAGGTGGATTTGGAAGCACAAGGCAAACTCATTTTTCAAATTATAAAATCTAGTGTCAAAGGGATAGAGTTTTAGTTTTGTTGCTGTTTAAAAGGTATAATAATAAACAGAAAATGCCAATAAAAAGTATATATGAGTTATCTTAAACGTAATTATTTTTTCAGAAAAAATTGGCAACAGTTAATTACTTTGTTGTGTGAGAATCTTTGTGATTCTTACGGCTGACCAAAAAGGGAAGGGATTTTTAATAAGTAGGTTTGGAAGGCCAAGTTCATGGTGTCCTTCCAAGCTGGATAAATCAGGCAGCATGCTCCTTACCAAGAAAGGGATGGTCTTTTGGAAGAAAGGATAATCAAGCTAGAATCCTTCTACTCGGCATAAACATCAAAGTCCTTGTGGTGGTTCAAAGAGGAAGAATCTGCCTCCATACATTTGGCCAGATTTTTGGCACCTGGTTAAAGAGATTGAGCAACAAAAAGCTTTGCTTGAATTTCATTAAAATTGAGTATTAAAAGCATACTCTTACAATTGAAGTGGAGTGGATTGAGTCTCTTGATGGGGATGGGCCCTTAGTGTATATGCATGGCTTGGGTAACTTTCTTCATTTGTTTAATTGGAAAACTTGCTGTTTTTATCTCTCTGTCCAACCATAGCCCCCTCTCTCCACAATATTCTTTGAAGAACATCTAGCTCTCCATAAAATATCTAGCAAAAGAGAGAGAAAAAAATACTTCCACAAATGCTTGTCAAAATAAAAGAAAGCAAACAGAATTACATACCAAGTCTTTATTTCCTCTTAGACCTAAATTTGATTAGATGTGATGCTAATGATTAGGCTAAAACGAGTGATGGTAAGCTTGTTTGTTAAACTAATTAATGACATAAATGTGACTTCCCAAAACAATCCCGCTGAAATCCTGCTTCAGGTTTCCAAAGAAGCCTGTGCTTTCCATCCATTCCCATGGAATTTGAGGGGAGCCACCCATTTTTGCCAGTGGTTTAGCTAGAATTAAAATTAATAACGTTTTGGCCCCCTGCCTTTGCTGAAACTGCTGGGAAGCACAGACTTCTGTTGTTCAGTGCTACATGCATCTTCCAAATTCTCAATTGGGAAAAATGCGAAGTCCGCATTCTGGCCTTGGGCAATAGAACGTTAGGCATGGAAATCAGCGCCTCGGGTTTTTACATCAACGTCAGTCCCTCACAGGTCAGCAACCGCAGCGGCTAACCTCTTTCTCCCAACCGCCACACAGAGATGCATTTTCCAATGCGATGCCAATACATCTCTCAGGCCTTTGCTTCATCGGGATCGAGAGTTATTTTTTTTCTCTCCAAACATTTTGTTTTGAAAGTTTCAAAATTTACATAAAAGATAAAGACTAGTACAATAAAAAAGTATATACCCTAATCTAGACTTATCAATTGTTCCCACTTTGCCATTATTTTCCCTCAATATCTCCTATTTATTTATTTATTTATGTATTTTTGCTGAACAATTTGCAAGTAAGTTGCAGACACTATGAAATTTCACTTCTATGTACCTTATCATGCATCTCCTAAGTATGAGCTCAGAAGCACAGCACCATTTTTTACATGCCCAAATTTACATGCATTATGTTTAATATGAACTCCATATCAAAATTCCCCAATTATTTTTCAAATGTATTTTGTTTTCTTTATCTGCAGGATTCAGTGAAGATTGATGCATTGCATTTGGTTGTAATCACTTTTTAGTTTTGTTAAAGCAAACCAAATATGGCCTGAGAAGGACTCCATACTTCTATATTTGAGTCCTTGAGGATGAACTGCAACCTAACTTAATAGGTAGACAAGATTGAAAACCTAACTTAAAAGTATGCACCTGTAACAATCGCTGAGCAGGTCAGCGATTGGCCAATCCCAGCAGCCTTATTTCAGCCACTCATAACACTGCTGAGTGTTTAAACTGTGTTTAAATAAGGCAAACGCCAATCTGTAGCCAATCCAGTTGTTTCTACACCTCACTTCCGATTTCTGTACGTCACTTTACTTTTTTGTCTATAAATTTATTCTGACCAGGAGGCACCCCTGGAGTCTCTCTGAATCTGCTGTGATTCTTGGGGCTGCCCTGTTTGTGAATCGTTCATTGCTTAAACTCCTTTAAATTTAATTCGGCTGAAGTTTTTCTTTTAACAGTTTCTTTTAATCTAGAACAGGTTCCTCACATTTTGTTTTGTTGTTCTCAGGATAATTACTTTTCTGAAGAATCCAGGTTCGTTTTCTTATGGAATTTTCTACCTTGTGAAGTTACCTGATTAATTTTTTTCATTGTTAGATTCAGGTTACACATGCTTTGGCAAGAATACTCTATCAGTGTTGTTGTACATTTCTCAGTGCTTTATATACATGATATTAGACTGTTGCCCCATAATGATGCTAAGTTAGGCCACTTGGTTAAGGTGATGATCGCAAAGATCTCTTCATTGTGAGGTAGATTTTCTCCTCTGGGATTAGTAAATAATTTGCAGAAGACTACCTTGACTGTGTGACTAATCTGTTCCCTAACCTTTCATGTTATATTTTCATGATCTTACTTGCTACAATTATTACTTAGGGGTTGCAAAATGGCATTTTTTCCAATTCTATTATTCCTTCTTAATTTATCAGCTGGTATTCTCTTACAGAAAAATTTTCTTATTTCTCTATCTTGTTTCTTCTCTATTATCATTATGAACTCATTTAAAAAAATTCACTAACCTGGATTTTTCAGAAAAGTCATTATCATGAGAACAACCAAACAAACAAAATGTGAGGAACCTGTTCTAGATTTAAAGAAAGTGTTAAAAGAAAAACTTCAGCCGAATTAAATTTAAAGGAGTTTAAGCAATGAACGATTCACAAATAGGGCAGCCCCAAGAATCACAGCAGATTCAGATTAATGTATTACAATTAATTACCATCATTGTTCTTTTATAGACTCAAATGTGCAAAATTTGCTTCATGGGAGCCACTTTAACAGGCTCATGTGCTCCTCTGACATGGTCTTAGTATTTGAGCACTTAGAAACAAGTAAACTACATTTTATTTTCCTTGCCCTGGACTTGGAATTAGCTATTACTGTAATAAATTATGATATTTTATACTGTGGAATGATGTCTAGAAATCAATAGCTGAACATGAACTCTGTTCATTCCTATTGAAGTGTCATTATTTCTACCTGCTTTAGGTAGAGAGTGCTATAATACATGTGAATTTTATATTCAATTAAAATTAGTATTGCAAGATTGTTTACTTTCTTTAATTTTATATTAATACCTCTTTTACAGTTCAAATCTTAAATTTAGTATGCTTAGTATTTGCATTAAAATTGGTAGTATAATTATGAAACTATCTTATGTATAGTGTATGATAAGTGCAGGATCTCTTAATGGGATATTAATCCTGCACTATATGTAACATTTCATTTCAGTTATTTTTGTCCTTGAATATATGCCACAGAGAATGTACAGTCAGAGGAATTATATTAAAAACTTACTTTAATTATTTTCTTCATTTGATTATCTACAATTTTTGTCATTTTATTGAGGTATACTTTACACATGATAACACTTACCCTTGTAGAGTTCCAAGAATTTTGACAATTGCATGCAGTCAGCTAGCCATACTACAAACAACGTATAATGCACTTCCATCACCCCACTGTTTCCTCATTCCCCCTCCTATTTAATCCCCTTCCTCCAACACCCAGCCCCTGGCAACCACTAATTTGTCTTCTGTCTCTATGGTTTAGCCTTTGCAGAATGTCATATGAACAGACTCATATGTAACCACTGAATCTGATTTCTTTCATTTAGTATAGTGCAATAGTATTGTGCAACTTAGTTCACTCAGATCATTTTTTTAATTGATGGGTAGTATTTCATTGTATTGGTGTACCAAAATTTTTTTAAAAAATCTATTCAGCATTTGGACATTTGGCTTGATTTTTGAATAAAGCCATTATAAATATTTATATGGACACATTTTCTTTTCTCTTAGGTGAATAGCTAGGAGTGGAATTGCTAATTTTTAGGTGCATTTTTAACCTTATTAAACACCTCTAAATTATTTTCCAAAGCGTCTGTACCTATTTTTATTTCTACCAACAATGTATAAGAGCTCTATTTGCCTTTCACATCCTTATTAGCACCTATTATTGTAAAAACTGGTTTGTTCATTTGCTTCTCTATTTCTTTCCTTTTTTTACCATTTTGAGATGGAGTCTTGCTCTGTTGCCCAGGCTGGAATGCAGTGGCGCAATTTTGGCTCACTGAAACCTCCGCCTCCTGGGTTCAAGCAATTTTCTGCCTCAGGCTCCCGAGTAGCTGGGATTACAGGCGCCTGCCACCACGCCCAGCTAATTTTTTTATTTTTAGTAGAGAGGGCATTTCACTATGTTGGCCAGGCTGGTCTTGAACTCCTGACCTCGTGATCCACCCACCTTGGCCTCCCAAAGTGCTGGGATTACAGGCGTGAGCCACCGCGCCCGGCCTCTTTTTTCTTTCTTATCATTGTGATAGTTATGTAGTGGTAACTCACTGTGGTTTTAGCTTGCGTTTCTCTAAAGACTAATGATATTAAGAATTATTTTATATATTTATTTGACATCTGTGTATCTTCTTTGGCAAAGAATCTGTAAAATATTTTCTCCAGTATTTTAAAATTAGTTTGTTTGGTTTCTTACTATTGATGTTTTTTTTATTTCAACATGCATCTTTTTTTTATTTTATTTTTAAATGCCTCCTACTTAGGAGGAAGGTAGCATTTAGCAATGTGTTTTATTTTATTTTTATTTTTATTTATTTATTTATTTATTATTTATTTTTTTAACGTGTTCTTTATTACTATTATACTTTAAGTTCTAGGGTACATGTGCACAATGTGCAGGTTTCTTACGTATGTATACATGTGCCATGTTGGTGTGCTGCACCCATTAACTCGTTATTTACATTAGGTATATCTCCTAATGCTATCCCTCCCCCGCTCCCGCCACCCCACAACAGGCCCCAGTGTATGATGTTCCCCTTTCTCTTCCATGTGTTCTCATTGTTCAGTTCCCACCTATGAGTGAGAACATGCGGTGTTTGGTTTTTTGTCCTTGTGATGGTTTGCTGAGAATGATGGTTTCCAGCTTCATCCATGTCCCTACAAAGGACATGAACTCATCCTTTTTTATGGCTGCATAGTATTCCATGGTGTATATGTGCCACATTTTCTTGATCCAGTCTATCATTGGTGGACATTTGGGTTGGTTCCAAGTCTTTGCTATTGTGAATAGTGCCGCAATAAACATACGTGTGCGTGTGTCTTTATAGCAGCATAATTTATAATCCTTTGGGTATATACCCAGTAATGGGATGGCTGGGTCAAATGGTATTTCTAGTTCTAGATCCCTGAGGAATTGCCACACTGACTTCCACAATGGTTGAACTAGTTTACAGTCCCACCAACAGTGTAAAAGTGTTCCTATTTCTCCACATCCTCTCCAACACCTGTTGTTTACTGACTTTTTAATGATCGCCATTCTAACTGGTGATACTGCCTTCTATGAGTAAAAATTTCTGTACATTGTTATCATTGTCTCTAATAGGGCATGATTTTAGATTATTCACTAGGGTTACATAACGGTAAAGGGATCAATTCAACAAGAAGAGCTAACTATCCTAGATATATATGCACCCAATACATATAGTTCTGTAGATGTCTATTAGGTCAGCTTGGTGCAGAGCTGAGTTCAATTCCTGGGCATCCTTGTTAACTTTCTGTCTCATTGATCTGTCTAATGTTGACAGTGGGGTGTTAAAGTCTCCCATTATTATTGTGTGGGAGTCTAAATCTCTTTGTAGGTCACTCAGGACTTGCTTTATGAATCTGGGTGCTCCTGTATTGGGTGCATACATATTTAGGATAGTTAGCTCTTCTTGTTGAATGGATCCCTTTACCATTATGTAATGGCCTTCTTTGTCTCTTTTGATCTTTGTTGGTTTAAAGTCTGTTTTATCAGAGACTAGGATTGCGACCCCTGCCTTTTTTTGGTTTCCATTTGCTTGGTAGATCTTCCTCCATCCCTTTACTTTGTGCCTATATGTGTCTCTGCACGTGAGATGGGTTTCCTGAATACAGCACACTGATGGGTCTTAACTCTTTATCCAATTTGCCAGTCTGTGTCTTTTAATTGGGGCATTTAGCCCATTTACATTTAAGGTTAGTATTGTTATGTGTGAATTTGATCCTGTCATTATGATGTTAGCTGGTTATTTTGCTCGTTAATTGATGCAGTTTCTTCCTAGCATCGATGGTGTTTACAATTTGGCACGTTTTTGCAGTGGCTGGTACTGGTTGTTCCTTTCCATGTTTAGTGTTTCCTTCAGGAGCTCTTATAAGGCAGGCCTGGTGGTGACAAAATCTCTCAGCATTTGCTTGTCTGTAAAGGATTTTATTTCTCCTTCACTTATGAAGCTTAGTTTGGCTGGATATGAAATTCTGGGCTGAAATTTCCTTTCTTTAAGAATGTTGAATATTGGCCCCCACTCTCTTCTGGCTTGTAGAGTTTCTGCCGAGAGATCCACTGTTAGTCTGATGGGCTTCCCTTTGTGGGTAACCTGACCTTTCTCTCTGGCTGCCCTTAACATTTTTTCCTTCATTTCAACTTTGGTGAATCTGACAAATAAGTGTCTTGGAGTTGCTCTTCTCGAGGAGTATCTTTGTGGCGTTCTCTGTATTTCCTGTATGTGAATGTTGGCCTGCCTTGCTAGATTGGGGAAGTTCTCCTGGATAATATCCTGCAGAGTGTTTTCCAACTTGGTTCCATTCTCCCCATCACTTTCAGGTACACCAATCAGACATAGATTTGGTCTTTTCACATAGTCCCATTTTCCGGAGGCTTTGTTCATTTCTTTTTACTCTTTTTTCTCTAAACTTCTCACTTCATTTTATTCATTTGATCTTCCATCACTGATACCCTTTCTTCCAGTTGATCGAATCGGCTACTGAAGCTTGTGCATGCGTCACATAGTTCTTGTGCCATGGTTTTCAGCTCCACAAGGTCATTAAAGGTCTTCTCTATGCTGTTTCTTCTAGTTAGCCATTCGTCCAATCTTTTTTCAAGGTTTTTAGCTTCTTTGCAATGGGTTCGAACATCCTCCTTTAGCTTGGAGAAGTTTGTTATTACTAATCTTCTGAAGCCTTCTTCTCTGAACTTGTCAAAGTCATTCTCTGTCCAGCTTTGTTCCGTTGCTGGCAAGGAGTTGCTTTCCTTTGGAGGCGAAGAGGCGCTCTGATTTTTAGAATTTTCAGCTTTTCTGCTCTGGTTTCTCCCCATCTTTGTGGTTTTTATCTACCTTTGATCTTTGATGATGGTGACGTACAGATGTGGTTTTGGTGTGGATGTCCTTTCTGTTTGTTAGTTTTCCTCCTAACAGTCAGGACCCTCAGCTGCAGGTCTGTTGGAGTTTGCTGGAGGTCCACGCCAGACCCTGTTTGCCTGGGTATCGTCAGCAGAGGCTGCAGAACCGCAAATATTGCAGAACGATAAATGTTGCTGCCTGATCGTTCCTCTGGAAGCTTATTCTCAGTGGGGCACCCGGCCGTATGAGGTGTCAGTTGGCCCCTACTGGGAGGTGCCTCCCAGTTAGGCTACTTAGGGGTCAGGGACCCACTAGAGGAGGCAGTCTGTCCGTTCTCAGATCTCAAATTCTGTGCTGGGAGAAGCGCTACTCTCTTCAAAGCTGTCAGACAGGGACGCTTAAGTCTGCAGAAGTTTCTGCTGCCTTTTGTTCAGCTACGCCCTGCCCCCAGAGGTGGCGTCTACAGAGGCAGGCAGGTCTCCTTGAGCTGTGGTGGGCTCCACCCAGTTCGAGCTTCCCGGCCGCTTTGTTTACCTACTCAAGCCTCAGCAATGGTGGGCACCCCTCCCCCAGCCTCACTGCGGCATTGCAGTTCGATCTCAGACTGCTGTGCTAGCAGTGAGCAAGGCTCCGTGGGTGTGGGACCCTCTGAGCCAGGCACAGGATATAATCTGGTGTGCCGTTTGCTAAGACTGTTGGAAAAGTGCAGTATTAGGGTGGGAGTAACCCGATTTTCCCGGTGCCATCTGTCATGGCCTCCCTTGGCTAGGAAAGGGAATTCCCTGACCCCTTGCGCTTCCCGGGTGAGGTGATGCCTCACCCTGCTTCAGCTCACAGTCTTTGGGCTGTACCCACTGTCCTGCCCCCACTGTCCGACAAGCCCCAGTGAGATGAACCCAGTACCTCAGTTGGAAATGCAGAAATCACCCGTCTTCTGTGTTGCTCATGCTGGGAGCTGTAGACTGGAGCTGTTCCTATTCAGCCATCTTAGAACCTCCCCACTATGGAGTTTTGAGTCATTTATATGTTCTAGATACCAGTCCTATATCAGATATGTGTTTTGCAAATATTTTCTGCAAGTTTATGTTTTATGTTTTTAACATTATTCTTTGAAGAAGAAAAGTTTTTAATTTTAATGAAGTCCAATTAACCAATTTTAAAAATAATTTGTGCTTTTTGTGTCCTGTGTAAGAATCTCTGTCTGACTTAAAATGGCAAAGATTATCTCCTGAATTTTCTGGTAGTAATTTTATACTTGTATATTTTAAATTTATAGGTATGATCCATTTTGATTTAATATTTGCATATGGTACAGGGTAGATAGAGGTCAAGCTTTATTTACTTGTATATAGATATCAAATTGTTCCATCACCATATATGGAAAATAATATCATTTCTGCATTAAATTTACTTAGTACCTATGGCAAAAAGCAATTAAGTATATATGTGAGAATCTATTTCTAAAATCTTTATTCTGTTCCACTGATATACGTGCCTATCCTTTTGTCAATATCATATTACCTTAATTATTATAGATTTGTAGTAAGTTTGAAACCAGATAGTGTTAGTCTTCCAACTTAATTATTTTTTTCAAAATCATTTTGACCAGTCCCTGCTTTTCTGGTTATTCATTTCTTTATCTTAATAATTTGATACTCAGCTTGTCAATTTCTACAAAAATAGCCTACCAGAATCTTGCCTGGTGTGCTGTGAATCTATATATTGATTCAAAGGAGAATTAACTTACTAAGAAATTGAGTCTTCCTTGTGTTGATTTATTTTGATCTTCTTTGATTTCTCTCATCAATGTGTTTTAGTTTTCGATACAAACACTCCACATATTTTGTTATATATAATAATTTTATATTTTGTGTATTATGGTAAATCATACTGTTTTCCTGACTTCAATTTTCAATTCTGTATGTTAGCTATATAGAGAAGTACAATTAATTTTTGAATATTAACATTCCTAAATTCATGTATTAGTTCTAGTTGCTTTTTAATAAATTCTTAGGGTTTTTCTATGTAGACAATCATACAATCTATGAAAAAAGGCAGTTTTAATTCTTTCTTTTAAATCTATATGTCCTTTTTTTCTCTTGTCTTATGAGACTGGCTAGGTCTTCCAGGTAATACTGAATAGGAGCCATAAAAGAATATATTCTTGCTTTGCTACTGATATTAAGGTGGAAAGCTTTCAGGATTTCACTCTGAATTAAGGTATTAACTGTAAATTTTTCAAAGATGCCTTTTATCAAGAATTAAATTCCTTTTAATTTCTCATTTGCTTAGAGGCTTTTTAAAAATCATGAATGGATTTTGAATTTTGTCAATTTTTTTTGGCATCTATTGAGATGGTTTTTTTATCCTTTAGCCTATTGATATGATGAATTATATTGATTTTCAAATATTAAATCAACTTTATGTTTTTGTGGTAAACCCTCTCTTAGTCATAATGTCTTATCTTCTTTATAAATTGCTGAATTTGACTTATTAATAATTGGTGAAGATTTTTAGGAGTGTTTTTATGAAGAGTAGGTTTTTCTCTTACAATATCTTTGTCAGTGTTCCATTTTGGTTGCTTTCTATTGAACTGTCTCTAAGTTCACTGGCTCATCCCTCAGATCAAGTTTAGTCATAACCACATTGATGACATTCTTCATCTCTTATATATTCATCTCTATGCCACATTTGTTATATATAGCATTTCTAGTTAAGTCCTTCTTTTAGTTTTTATCACTTTGCTGAAGTTTCCCATCTATTTGTACATGTGGTAAATCTTTTCCACTAGATCCACTAGAAGTTTTACATATTAGTAAAACTTATTAGTCATAGTTATTTTATCATTTCTTTCTGATAGTTTCACATCCACGTCATCTCTGGCTCTGGTTAAGCTGATTGCTTTGTCTCTTAATAACGTTCTCACCCTGTATGTGTATGTGTCTCATGATTTTTTACTAAATATTAAACATTTTGTGTAAAACAGGAGACTGATGTAAATAGCATGTATACCTGGAAGTAGGCATACCTCCTTTCAGACAGCTACAGCAGAAAATTGAGTCAATTTAGTCAGTATCTGAGCTAGGTTTGAGTTTTTTGTTGCTTTGATTAAATTTCCTCTAGTGATGTCTTATGCTTAAAACTCAGATGCAAGTGATGGAGACTCTGTCTCAATATTTTGCTTCCTTCTCAGTTTTCAGACATCTCTATCCACTTGTACAACAGAGAGGATCTTTCTCTGTGGTCTCACCCCTTCCACAATGACAGACTGCTCTTTCTTGTTAATCAGTTCTTGCTAGTCTGGGGTTGGGGGTTAGGGGAGTTCTCCCTTGTCCTGAAACAGCCTCAGTCTTAGATAGAGCTTATACGTGTGGGCCTCAGGGGTGAAGTTTTCTGCCCTTCCTTCCCAAGGCAGGCAGTCAAACACCACCTTTTATCTATAGCAGGTCTTAGCTAGGAGAGTTTCCTTCCTCTCCTCCAGGAGTAGTATAATAGTGTTGATATGGAATCCTGGGTTCAGGACTCTTTCTTACCCCTTTGCCAGGACTAGAGGGTTCTCTCCCTTTCTCCTTTTCCCAGCAACAAGGTGTTTCTACCTGTGCTCTGAGTCCATAGGGTTTACTGCCTCTCCCTAGAAGCTTAGGGCTTTGGAGAGAAGAATCCAAGCAGAGGAGGGGCTTTGTGACATTCCCACAGTGGTGGCTGATCCACACCAGGGTTTTCCTGGCAATTGTATGTTTTTGTTTGCCTAAGAAGAACTTCAGAATCAACCTATGAAGCTGGAGGTGAAAAAAAATCTGTGGTATATTTATCACTATATATTCACACTTTACTTGGTGAGAAGTGGTATTATTAATATGCTCAGTTCTAGCCAAGAACAAAGTATATCTTTTTTATTTGTTCAAATCTACTTTTATATCTTTCAGGCATATTTTAAAGTTTTCTTCACAAACTTTTTTTTGTTAGTTTACCTTAAAGTACTATATATATTTTTTTCATCTCTTATATATTTGTATATACATTCATCTCTATGCTATATATATAAATATATATATACACACACACACAGTGGCTCTTATGACTCTTATAAATGATGGGGGTTTTTCTGATGCCCCCAAATCCCAAATCCGGGTCAGAATAGACTCTCAAGGCAGATTTACACGTTGGTTTTCCAATTCTGTAGTCAGTCTTGTGATCCAAGACTAGAATATCTTTCTCTCAAGGCTTTAATGATGATATTTTTTAAAGTCCTTATTAAGGAAAATCTTACCAGTAGAGATTAGAAGCCCCTGAGTTCTTCCTGTTCTTTTGGTTGGCTCATTTCACGGGTCCAACTGAGCAGAGGTGGGCCATGAAACACAGCTAAAGTGCTTCATAGCACTTTAGCTACGGGGGATATCCTTGTTTTCTGGCTGGTCAAGAATCCTAATGATGGCAGGCAGTGGGGGATAACAGTGCTATAATCCAGATAGGCTGGCCTTCAGGGGATGGAAACTGGGTAACGTGTTCTCTGAGTTAATCCCATTTCTTGCTATTCAGCACCATCAAATTCAACACACATAGACACTGGCAAAACATGTTTAGTTTAGTTTAATTACAGCTGAGTCCCCCCTTTCTCAGTGACTCTACGGGACCCCTGGTAAATGATACTTCCCTGAACTGTTATGGTGCATGGGATATAGACAAAATTAAAAGATCATTAGAGTGTTTCAGAAAACCAGGAGGCACTTTGGCACCAGGTGCTGGCCTAGCAGTTTTGGTTAAGGAGGTGATTTGCACATAGATGTACCACCAGGAAGAGGCCAAGGCATGGTCAAGAACGGCATGGGGGAGGCGTGGAGGACTGATGCTAAGGGGAGAAGCCAGATGACTGACTCCAAAGAGCTCCACAGTGTAGCCTCTTTACCCTGCAGATTTTGTGTGTGGCTGAGTTTGGCCTTTAACCTTACAGGCTCTGACACAGGACTGCAGGGCTCCATCTCTCAAGACAGACTGGTATTCACTGAAGCACAACACTGATTATATCATCAGAATAAACAGGTGCTATGGCAGCGATCTTCATTGGCATTATCAGGAGAGCTTGTTACAATGCAGATTGGGGGCTCAGCTCCAGAGTTTCTCATTCAGTAGATCCAGGTTGGACATCAGAATCTGTATGTTTAACCATCTCTCAGGTCCTGTTGGTGCTGCTGGCATTGGACATCCAGTATTTACAACTTGAATTACAGAAAGGAGTCACCTGTGGAGCTCTTAAAAACACCGTTGCCTGGGCTTACCACAGACCAATTAAATAGGGACCTCTGGGGGCAGAGCCCAGGCACTTTTATGCTTTTAAGTTAAGCTTCTCAGGTGATTTTCGTTTTTTTTTTTTTTTTTTTCCTCCAGAGATGGTCTCACTCTGTTGCCCAGGCTGGAGTGCAGTTGTGCGATCTCAGCTCACTGCAACCTCTGCCTCCCAGATTCAAACAATTCTTCTGCCTCAGCCTCCCGAGTAGCTGGGACTACAGGTGCACACTGCCACACCTAGTTAAGTTTTTTGTATTTTAGTAGAGACAGGGTTTCACCATGTTGCCCAGGCTGGTCTCGAACTCCTGAGCTCAGGCAATCCGCCTGCCTCGGCCTCCCAAAGTGCTAGGATTACAGGCATGAGCCACCGCACCCGGACTCTCAGGTGATTTTCTTATGCAGAAGGTATTGATAACTACCAGTATAGGCATCACAGAATTTTTCCTCCTGGAACATTCACCACTTTCAGCTAGCTAACTTCTTACCTGTCCTTCAAATGTCACCCGATGTGTTGCTTTGTTTTTTATTAGCCCTAAAATATCTGTGTCTCTTTCCTTCAGAAACTGTCTCAGATTGTAACAGTGGGTCATTAGTATGATTATTTAGACACTTCCTGTTTCCTTAAAAGGCTCTAAGCTTCATGTGTCTACTGGGCTCATCACTGAAGCCTCAGCAACCCTCCCACAGCATGGGTTTGAAAATCAGCACTTAACTAAATGGAACCTCCAAATAATGAAGACCAACCAAGTTGGTCACTGTGATAACTATTTTAATATCTTCTTTTTAATTTCCAAGTATGTTTTAAAGTTTTCGTGCTCATTATTTGCTTGCCTGGGCTTTACCGGCTTTAAGAATATGCTTAGTCTCCTTGTTGAACGGTAAGCATTGGGAGAACAGCATGTGCCAAGGTAGTGGGGAAGGGGAGATAAAATGAAACATTCAAAGAACTGAGGAGGGCAGGCTGGATGAGCACAGTGTAACTAAAATGAAAGGCTGTACCAAAGGGGATTGAAACCCAGGGAAAGGCACAAGGCCAAGGATGGGCTCTAAGTAGTGTACTTAGACATGTATTTTGCAAAGATCAGTTTGATTGTTGTGTGGGAAGTGGTCTAAATGGTCTCAGAATGAATGCTAGTCCACAGGCAGTGACAGTCAAGATGAATAATGATGGGGACTTGTGGGCGAATGTTTGGGTCCTAAACTCCGGAGCAGAATCTCATTCAGGTAGGTTGGTAGATGGAGGTTTTTTAAAAGAAGGACCATTGAATAGTGAGGCTGGTAAAACAGTGTGAGACGAGCCAGCCAGTAGAGCAGGACATGTAGATGAGATCGAGGAATAAAATAAATCATCAACGTTTCCTGGAGACATGTCAAATATTCTTAGCCCCATCTGCCTGATGTGTCATCTCAGTGTGACCATAGTGAGGCCCAGAGCAATACTATTCACATGCTCCCAAGTGACTCCATCCATCAGCCAGGATTGGGGAACAATTTAAATAGATGGAGCTCAGTGTGGACAGGGTAAGCTTGAAAAGATGACTGGCAACAAAATTGGGCAGGCCCTTATGCTATTCCTCAGAAGTGATGATGATGACATAATGTGGAGTAATAAGAACACTACCATATTGGGGCGGGGCTTTTGAGGGAAGGGCCCTGGCAGTCAGAAATGGGTGCAGAGGATGTTTTTATCCTGTGCATCAGCATAGAGTGGGAAGTTTGCAAAATTTTGTACTCTAAAGCCTATAGGTGTTCCTCTGGATGACTCCATTATTGAAGCATCTTGGAAATAGTTTGTGAAGAAGTCTGAGTGCTAGAAACAAAGTAGGCAGCTGTTGCCTTTAAACAGTTCTCCACACCAGCTGCAGTACATTCTCCAGAAGAACTCTCTAACAACTGCCATCAAGCTAGAGGAGGAATAACCGCCAGCATTCAGAGATGCACCAAGTAGCTCCTGCCCTCAATCTCCAAGTGCTCATAGCCTTCCTTTTAAACATCCTCTTTTAGAGTTTTTTGAAACCCACTAATGACATGTTTGTATGGTTAATTTACATGGTCTAGTGTTTAGCCAGTTTACCGTCACATAGTAAAATATGAATGGCTTTTTTTCTCATGATCTGAAGCAAATTCTGGGAGGGTAAGTGTGCACAGGTGGGTATCGACTGGGGTATAGACAGAGCAGAGGGGAAGGAAGGAAGATGCAGGGAATACTGTTAGTTTCTGGGCTTTACTAAGTGACGCTGAAGGGAGGAGGGCCTGAAGTGTAGGTGGAAGGAGAATCCAGGATTAGGGAATAGGGGTAGGAAGGACAAGGAGCATCCCAAAATAAATCAGCACAAGTTTGTCCAAGGGCTTGCCCGGCCTGCCTGAAGTCATAGAAGTTTATTATTTCTGTGTTCATAAACAACTCCCTTGTTCCTTGCCCTCAGGAGCAAATCCAGGTTTTTTGGGGTTTGAAGCTTATATAATTTAGGGTAGTTCCTCTTTGAGAAAAAAATTCAGGTTATGATATGAAAGTGAATATTATGAGATAGGTAATCATAGAAAATTACATAATTTAAAAACACTATAATCACACTGCAAACTTTCTAAAATTACATAATTTAATTAATTAACTTCATGGCTCACCTATAAAATACTTTTTCCTACTTTTTGGCTGCACACTCTTTGATCACTTCATATCAGAATGCTTTTGTTATATTATTTTCTAATGAGAGCAAAGAAAGATGATTTAATATTTCCTTTAGCATGGATGATCAAAATTTGTTTTTATTATTGTTTAATAGCATTCTTTTAGCTTTACAACTTGTTAATGGTATGCTATATAAATGTTGAAGATTATTGCCAAATTTGAAACAAGTGCCTTTTTCATAAGAACTGTGAGATTTAAGTTATTTCAAGTTTCATTGTGCAAGCATGAGCCTTAAATTATCTTTGAATTTGATGATATTCAAACACCAGTTTGTTACCACAACCATATATTACTTCTTCAAACTTTACAATTCTATGAATGTTTTACTGCACTGCTGGGGCTCCTTCCAGGTGAGAGGGGTGCAAGCATCATTAGATCCATAGCAAAACCACCTCTGATTGCTTCACGTGCTTGTGTCTTATTGTTAAAAAAAATAGATAATAAAAGCTAACATTTGCTGAACAGGTTCGCTAAATTGCCTCATTTAATTTGACATTTTTTTTTTGAGATAGAAATTAGTGTCCCCCTGTACAGATGAACAAACTGCTATTCAGTGAAGTTGACTTTGGCCAAGCAAGGACCTGAAATTAACTGAAATTTCCTGGGTGTCATTCCATCCATAGAGCTCTATTCCTTGCTTTTCTCTTCATTGCTGCCTATGAACTTTGAACCATTCTTTGCAAACCAAACCAAAATCTCCACAGAGAACCCTATAAGTCTGCTAAGAATAAAGAATAATCACGGATATTTTATGGATTTGGGCAAAGAAGGTAACCACTTCTTCATAAGAGACTTTCCACATCTTGACTTAGAGTCTCTGTTTTATCCCTAAGTGAGAGGGAAACATCCCAGATTCAGACTCCAGAAGGATCACAGAAGTCCTGTCAGGGGCTCAGCTATTTGCAAGTCCAACAACGTGAGGCCCAGAGGCTGGGAGTGTTTGGCAAATGTGATGTCTTAATGGGCCAAAGCTGTTTGGTGGGATTTGTAACTAAAAAGAGATTTCAGCCCATCTGACTGAATGTTAATGGATTGGTCTGAGGCAGATTTTTAAAAATATACTGTTTTATCTACTCATAACAGAGTTAACAGGTTTTGATGACTCTGGCCTTTTCTTTTTGCTCTGTGTATGTTGCCAGGCCAAATAACCTAGCTGTGTTGGAAACGAGTTTCAAATTACTTGCAGGTGGCTGGAGGCAGATGAAAGCTGCCATAGAGGTGTTCCTCATTCTATTCTCTAGTCCCCAGACTATCGGGCCATGTGCTGACACTTGGATGCTTGTTTTACAATATCATTTGACAAGTGGGATTTATGTGTCAAAATTTCAGTAGAAGCCAAGAAAATGTCAGAGTAAGCAAAGAGAGGCAGCATGAGAAAAGGGGGAGGGGGCTGCTTTTTAAACCCAGGAGTGTGTGAGTTAAACTGTGCCAAATCCCTACTCTGTATGAAACACACAGGGAGATTAACCTGGCTGCCAAAAACCCGAGATTTCTTTGGAGTGTTTTTGTGCAGTGCTGTTACTGCCTTTATCATTAAGGAAACAATGTAATAAAAATGAGACCTTTTCCCTGAATGCATTAATAAAGATAACTTATTGGTCCCGGTCCCAAACCACTGGAGCCACATTTAATTTGCTGCGTTTATTGTTCTGGGCTCTGGTATACAGAGGTGCTCAGGAGCACAGCAACATCACTGGAAGCACTGATAGAAAGGACAAAAGGAAAGGTTCCTGTTCTTACTTAGAATTTCCAAAATGCCCTAGTTACTAAATATTCATCAATCCTCCTAAATTTGTTTGAACTTTCCCCAAAGTTTTTATCTTATGGTTATTTTAAAAGGATTAAACACCTATACATATACACAAGTCCCCAAACCTTACCTGAAACTGTTAGAGTGTCCTATTAATTCCCACTTAAAATAACTTTTCCCCTATTCTTTTTTTTGGTGTAGGGGAAGGAGAGGTGGCAAGAGATTGAATGTTTAAGTTTCTCTAAGCCGTGTGCTGTTGCTCACCATATTAAGAGCATGTGTGCATTACTTCATAAACTATCAGATGACATGCAACTTTATTTATACTCAGTAAAAAAGAATAATGAGTTACGTAAAGTTATTTCTGACACCGGGCAAAATAACTCTGCAAAAAGGCACCATTCATGGGGGTCAGCCCAGCCTGGCTCAGGGGCCATCATCCACTAGCTCCAAACAAATTTAAGAAAGAATTACAGCTGTGGACACCATGTCACATGCCAAGGGTAATATGTACAAGTCATGATCAAGCATAATAACGAAAGCCCTTATGCCCTCTATTCTATTCCTCTCTGCAGATTAAGGGCCTCCAGGGTCAGGACCAACTGCCTAGGGAAGGCTTAGGAAGTCTGAGTTTGTGTATTCTCCAAATTTATGAAAGACAACATCACAGTGGCCATCAGTCTGGGGTTTGAAAATATCTAAACTGAAAAAGCTGAGATTTAGCCAAAGTATGAAGTACAATGGATCTCCTTATAATCTTTTTTGTTTGTTTGTTTATTTTGTTTTTTGCTTAATGACAACCTAGATATAAGTCAAGAGGTAATTAAGTGAACACTTAAGTTTAGCTGATAAGGAGGGGCAAATACTGAGGTTCCTTTGTGGGATGTCATACCTTTGTATTTTTCTCAACCATCCTAAGAGAAACATAGAGTGTGTTTCTGCCAGGATCCGGGACCATCAGCATGTCAATTCTTCTGATCTGCAAATGTCTAATTTCTCTTAGCAGAAATGGTGTTTACGGGGAAAATATCATGTGTACAGCTAGTTGTTGCTTAGTTAAAATGAATTCTGGGAAACATACTTGGGGCTCCTAGGTATCATAAATACCTTATAAAGTAGCCCCAGAGTAGGCTTGCTAATTTAGAAATTTTGGAAATAAAAAGATTGAGATCTTGGAAAACTCCCACTTCATGTGATATCAGCAGGTTAAGTATGTGCTGTTAACTGCTGATAATTGGCATTTCATTACTGATGGAACTACTACAAACTGCCTACTGGGAGGGTGTGTAGAAACACCATGACCAAATCTAGCATGCACCAGTACTTATTTTTCCCTGAGCTCTATTAAGATGATTTATTACTAAATATTAAGATGATTTATTACTATTAAGATGATTTATTACTAAATAAAGGCACTAATTTCATGGGCTCATATGAACTTAAATTCACGTGTGTATGTGTCTCTCTGTGTGTGTATTTCTTTCTCTGTGTGTGTGTGTGTGTGTAACTAGAGAAAATTAAGCAAAGACATTTGATTAGCAAGTACAAAGAGGGAAAGAGGGAAGTTTAGTTTCTCCCAGTAAAATGATTATTTTTAAAGTTTCTGTACAATCAATAGGAAAAGAGGATGCGGGTGAAAGGGGAAAGTCACAGGTATTTATATCTAAATAGCTCTGTAGGTTTTAGAGAAGGTTAAAGAAGGTAAGGGTGGTGATGTGTTTATTGGAGGTGGGAAGGTGGAAGTTGGAGGAGTGTACATCAATGGGCCCTTTTTTGTTTAGTGTCCTGGGAAATGTGGCCATTTCTGAAAGTCACGTGAGTCAAATGGAAGAGATAATTTGAGAGCTCTGATATTGCTGGTATACAGGAAATAAGAAATAGGATGAGAATAAAAATATTGAGCTGTAATGAAGGCCCATGTGAGAGTGGAAATGACAAATGTACACTAGTGGCTAATTGTTACAATGTTGTCATTTTATTCAACTGAGCTCAACATGTCAGGAGCAGAAAAAATGAATGTGATAGGATTAAGTAAGGTGTATTAGTCTGTTCTCTCATTGCTATAAAGAAATACCCGAGACTGAGTAATTTGTAAAGAAACAAGGTTTAATTGGCTCACAATTCTGCAACTGTACAGGAAACATGATTCTGGCATTTGCTTGGCTTCTGGGGAGACCTCAGGAAACTTACAATCATGGTGGAAGGTGAAGGAGAGGCAAGCCTGTCTTACGTGGCAGAAACAGGAGGAAGAGAAAGCGGGAAATTCCTGGTTTCCCAGAAAGTCTCTGGCTCTAAATCATATTCAGTTTCAGCAGAATAGTTGTGTCTAACCTTTCCTACGCTGCTGCTACACACTTTTAAACAACCAGATCTCTTGAGAACTCACTCACCATACAGTACCAAGGGGAGCTGGTGCTAAGCCATTCATGAGAACTCCACCACCATGATCAAATCCCCTCCCGTGAGGCTCCTCCACCAGGGCTGAGAATTACAATTCAACATGAGATTTGGGTGGGAACAGAGATACAAACCACATCAGAAGGATTTGCTGGACCCAACACCCAGGAATCAGGAAGGTGGGAGACAAAGATGTTGCAAAGACATGGCTGAAATTATTGACTGTATGGTCCAAGCTGGGTGAGAAAATTGAAACCAAGAGGAATTTGAGAGGGTATAGGGAGGCATGATGAGAGTGGAAATGTCACAGTACAGACATAGTTAGAGTGTGAGAAGTGGAAGAATTAGAAGTAGAGATTGGAGAGTGAAATTTTGCTAAGAGAATATGCTAGGGTCTGAATGTTTGTGTCCCCTCAAAATTCGTGTGCTGAAAACCTAATCATCAAGGTGATGATATTAGAGGATGGGGTTCTTGGGAGGTGATTAGATCACGAGGGTGGGGCCTTCATGAATGGGGTTAGTGTCCTGACGAAAGAGGCCCCAGAGAGTTCCCTTGCTCCCTTTCACCATGTGAGGACACAGCTAAAAGGCATGACCTATGAGGCAAAAAGCAGGCCAATGGCAAACACGGAAACTGCTGGCACCTTAATCTTGGACATTATAGCCTCCAGAACTGTAAGAAATATTTCTCTTATTTACAACCTACCCAGTGTATAGTATTTTGTCATAGCAGTCTGAACTGACTTTGACAGACAATTCCTGGTAGTGGCTGGTATCTGGACTGTGGCCCTGGGAGTGGACTGATGTGTAAGAATGAAGGCAAAGTTCGATGATCTGTGAGGCTGGGAAGATACCCAAATCAACACATACATCGCCTCATGTAGGATACATTAAGACTCTGGTTGAAGAGAAAGTCTACATCAATTTAGACCACTTGGCCTCTGAAAAGATGTTGCCCTTGTTGATTTTCTGTGTATATATATATATTGCTGAGTCTTTGGTTGATAATGTCTTTTTTTTTTTAATTCTCAAGAGTCAAAAAGTCCCCACAGAGAAGACCCACTTGCTAATCCTGAGCAGACCATGCAATGGAAGCATCTTGAGGCAGAGTGGTGAAGCTGAAAGCCCTGGACTAGGAACTGGAGCTGTAGAGTCCTGCTGTGGTTCTGCTGTTGACTTACTTGTTTAAATCAGAGATGAAATAACAACCTCTCTGGTCCTCTTATCTGTGAAATGAGAGGTTTGGCTAATGTGGTTTCCCAGGAATTTTCTGGCTCTAAGTTACATTCAATTTCAGCAGAATATTTGTTTCTAACCTTTCCCATGCTGCTGCTGAGTTGGCCTAATTGCTAGCCCTCCACTGATTTCATTCTGCCCCACCCCACCCTCAGATGACTCCTTCTTTCCACTTAGAGATAACAGCACCAATTAACTCAGGATAATTTCCCTCACTGCCAAAACTATTTCCAAAATGCAAACTTGTGGCTGCTGATTCATGCTGCTAGAGAAGCACTGTTTCTTTCTGACTGGCTTCACGTGTGTTGCCACTACAGGAAGAGACCAAGTCACTGGTAAAAAGCTAGGGTAACCAGGAGAAATGGCCCCTTCAGATGACACTGTGAGAGTCAACAAGGTAAGAAAGAGGAAGCTTTAAAATCACCACCATCATCATTTTTGAAATGTGGAAAGTTAGTTATGCATGGTGCTTGCCCTTGGGTACCTTAAAATTGAAAACATATAAGCAAAACACCATATATGGCCTGGCACAGTGACTCATGCCTATAAATCCCAGCACTTTGGAAGGTGGAGGTGGGTGGATGGCTTGAGCCCAGGAGTTTCAGATCAGCTTGTGCAATATGGTGAAAGCCTGTATCTGACCAAAAAAAAAAAAAGAAAAGAAATACACAAAAATTAGCTGGGTGCAGTAGTGCATACCTGTAGTCCCAGCTACTCAGAAGGCTGAGGCAAGAAGAACGCTTGAGCCCAGGAGTTTGAGGATGCAGTGAGCCATGATTGCACCACTGCACTCCAGCCTAGGTGGCAGATCAAGACCCTGTCTCAAAAGAAAAAAAAATATCAAAAACCAACAAAAACCAAAAACCATATAAACATCATCTTGTAAAGTAAATAAATATATAAGTGATTTAGGAGTCAACACATATTACTCAAGAGCACCCTATTGAGGCCCCAAGTCTCATTGACAAGATCTAATTGGAGTTTATATCTGTAAGGCCAACACTATGAGAATGAATGGGGTGATGAGCAGAAAAATAGTAGGGCTGGGGAGGGGACACAAAGAGAGACATTCTCAGCACAATGCCCAAAGGAGCTCCTTCTTTTACATGGCTAGATGACAAGAGGAAGTGATGAAGTCATAAAAGGAGTCAATGAGAGAGAAAGAAATGGGTGAGCGAAGTTCCTCAGTATCAAATAAAATGTAGTTCAAAGGAGGAGAGGCTGGTGTGAAGAGGAAAATGACAAAGGTGAGTCAAAAAAGCTAGGCCTGGAATAGGTTTTTGGAATTATCCATTATGAGGTCATTGACAACTTTGTCATAGGAGTTTCTGTGGAATTACAGGGCAGGATCCAGACAACATTAATTTACATAGCAAATGTTTGGAATGAAAGTGATGTTTCTAAGTCGAGACTATTCTTTCAGAAAAATTAACAGCAAAGTTTGGTACTCAAGGGGATAATAAAAACAAGGGAAAAATTTTGAGGAGGAATAAACCTTGGCCTGAGGTTAAAACAAAAAGGAAGAATTGATTGGAAGCAGGGCATTAACAACACATAGAAGAAGAATGGCACAATGGATGAAGCAGAAACCAGAGAAAGGAGACGAGCTCACAATCCTGGGTGAAGGAATGAGGGGAAAGGAGGGTAAAGAGATTCTGAGTTTTCAAAAATAAAGGATATCAGCAGAGAGGCAGATATAAAGCTGGCCAGTAACTTTTATGTGGAGAGTTTCTTGAAGATTTCAAGCATAGGAAGAGGGGAGAAGAGCAGAGTGCTATGATCCAAGATCTAGGCTTAGAAAGTTCCAGAAAAAGAAGAATTAGAACAAGTAATTGGCTTATCTCCAAATATGCCCAAAGATGGGACCGAAGACATTGCCTCACCTGCATAACAGGGAACAATTTACTATAAAACTAGAAATGATTGGAGCAAAGGTTGATTCTCTCACCTCTTATTACTGTTGTCTCCATTTCTATTACTAACATGGAGGGGCAGGAAAAAAAAACAAAGAAAAATCATTGCTGATCCTAGTAAGGACTTCTGCACATATGTGACCAACTGCTCTGTAGAGTGTATATTTGACAACCCAGAGTTCTGCTGGTGTGGCATACAACCATTAAATTACCTAAAACTTCTTGTTAGCTAAAAAATAGTTTCTACTTATATCATTTGTAAGTATCCTCAGTATACTCTAATTTTTTGCTGACTGGAGACCTATTTTGGGAAATATATACAGGTCCACAGCTCCTTATCAAAACAGCACCTAAGTAAGGCTCAGCCTCTTCTACTGAGTTTCACACACTATAGTAGTGGTCAATAAGCTTTATTCTCAGATATACATTCAAAGGTTTTAAAGAAAAAATACATACTTTTTCATAAATTTTTAAGTTAACATCTAAAATTTTTCATTAACACTATAAATGATTACAAAGGATATCATTTTCCTGTGTGTTATAAATGAATGACATTGAAAAATAGAACCATTACTTCATTTTTTGAAAAGTACTAATGACATCAAAATACCATAGTGATCATTTAAAAACAAATTTTTGATTGACATATAACATTTAAAAATGTACCAAATTATGAGTGTACATCCCACTGGTTCCACAGAGTTAAGACACTCATGTAACCAGCAAACAGACAAACAGTTTAAGAAGTTCTTCTTCGCTCCTTCTAAGACAGTCCTTTGCCACAAAGGTAACCATTATTGGGACTTTAGTATCACAGATTAGTTTCCTGTTTTTAAACTCTATGTAAATGGGATTATATAGTAGTTATGCTTTTGAATATGGCTTCTTTTGCTCAGTATTAAGTTTATGGAATTTATTGTTGGGAGTAGAAATACGTCATTCTCCTTGCTGTGTTGTAGTCCTTAGTAGGAATATACTGCAATTTATTTATTACATTTTTAGTGTACATTTGAATTATTTTCAATTTGAGGCTATTATGGGCAGTGCTGCTGTACATATTTTTATTCATGCTTTTTTGTGATGTATGTAAACATTTATGTTAGTTGTATGTCTAACAGTGAAACTGTTGGAAGATTGGGTCATGCATATATTCAGCTTTTTTTATATATTGTCATATATTCAGACATTTTTCAGGGTATTTGTACCAAATTATCTTTTTATTAGAAGTATGTGAGAGTTTTAGCTGCTCTGCATCATTTGATAGTCTCTGTTTATTTTTCCTTTTACCTATTCTAGTGAGTATAAAATTTGAGCACTTTTCAAATTTTTTGGTTCTTTGGATATCCTTTTTTGTAAGTCTCTTTCCATTTTTCTATTGGGTTATTCTTTTTCTTATTGATCTGTTGGTACTCTCTGTATAGTCTCTATATAAGCTCTTTGATGTACATATTGCAAATATCCTATTTCATTCTTTGGCTTTCAATTTTACTAGTGGTGTCTTTTATATGCAAGTTATTAATTTTAATGTGTACCAATTTTTAACTATTTTCCTGTATGGTTAGTACCTTTTATATCCTGTATAAGAAATTTCTGCCAACTCAAGATTATGAAAATGTTCTTGCAAGTACTCCTCTAGAGGTTATATTATTTCAGCATTCACATAAATATAAATATAATCTCAATATGATATAATATAAAATTACTACTGTATTACATAATTAATTAGGTAAAAATCAATTTGAATTGACTTTTGTGTACTGTGTGAGGCAGAAGTAAAAGTAATTCTCCCCTGCTTCATAGCCAATTGACCCAAGAATATTTACTAAAATGGCATATATTTCCACAACACTGCAAGGCCATCTTTGTTATAAATTAGGCAACCTTATATTTGTGGTTATGTTTCTATTTGGCTATCTTCACCATGAGAATTTGATTTGGTCCCTGGCAGTAAAACCCACAAAACTGAGTCCCCAGAAGTTCACCCACTCTTAAGCTAGTCCACAGGCATACTGTAGCAGTTCCTCAACAATTAAGTGTTCCTACAGTTTATGGCTCCAAGTGGCTTCTGCTTAAGGTGAGCTGATCTCAACTGTGATTCTCTGTATTCACTTATCTCTTCAAATTTCACAGTAGCAGTTTGTCTTGCAACCTCAGTTTTTTGATGGATCTAAGAAAAGTCATTTATTTTCAGTTTGTTTAGTGTTTTTTTGTAGTTGTTGCAAGGATGGAAGCGACAACTTCTAGGCTCTTGTTGAAAGTGAAACAAGAAGTCATCCTATCTTTTTAATGTCTAAAAAAATCAGTGGTAATATCCCATTTTTTACTCATGATATTGGTAATATATGACTTTCCCCTCCCCTCCCCTCCCCTCCCCTCGCCTCCCCTCCCCTCCCCTCGCCTCCCCTCCCCTCGCCTCCCCTCCCCTCCCCTTGCCTCCCCTCCCCCTCCCCTCCCCCACCCTTCCCCGCCCTTCCCCGCCCTTCCCTTCTTCCTTCTTTTCTTTTTACTTTGTTTTTTTTTTTTTTTTTTTTTCCAGAATCTTGCTCTATTGCCCAGGCTGGAGTGCAGTGATGCGATCTCGGCTCCCTGCAACCTCTGCCTCCCGGGTTCAAGCAATTCCCTTGCCTCAGCCTCCAGAGTAGCTGGGAATACAGGCATATACCACCACGCCCGGCTAATTTTCTTGTATTTTTAGTAGAGACGGAGTTACAACATGTTGGTCAGGCTGGTCTTGAATTCTGACCTCAAATGATCTACCCACCTCAGCCTCTGAAAGTGCTAGGATTACAGGCATAAGCCACCCACCCAGCCTTTTTTTTTCTTGACAGTTCTTGTCAGAAGTTTATTAATTTTATTAATCTTATGAAATAAGTACTTTTGTTGACTCTATTATATATGTATTTTCTTTTTCTTTTTTTTTTTATTATACTTTAAGTTTTAGGGTACATGTGCACAACGTGCAGGTTAGTTACATATGTATACATGTGCCATGTTGGTGTGCTGCACCCATTAATTTGTCATTTAACATTAGGTATATCTCCTAATGCTTTCCCTCCCCACTCCCCCCACCACACAACAGGCTCCGGTGTGTGATGTTCCCCTTCCTGTGTCCATGTGTTCTCATTGTTCAATTCCCACCTATGAGTGAGAACATGCAGTGTTTGGTTTTTAGTCCTTGTGATAGTTTGCTGAGAATGATGGTTTCCAGCTTCATCCATGTCCCTACAAAGGACATGAACTCATCATTTTTTATGGCTGCATAGTATTCCATGGTGTATATGTGCCATATTTTCTTAATCCAGTCTATCATTGTTGGACATTTGGGTTGGTTCCAAGTCTTTGCTATTGTGAATAATGCCACAATAAACATACATGTGCATGTGTCTTTATAGCAGCATGATTTATAATCCTTTGGGTATAGACCCAGTAATGGGATTGCTGGGTCAAATGGTATTTCTAGTTCTAGATCCCTGAGGAATCACCACACTGACTTCCACAATGGTTGAACTAGTTTACAGTCCCACCAACAGTGTAAAAGTGTTCCTGTTTCTCCACATCCTCTCCAGCACCTGTTGTTTCCTGACTTTTCAATGATCACCATTCTAACTGGAGTGAGATGGTATCTCATTGTGGTTTTGATTTGCATTTCTCTGATGGCCAGTGATGATGAGCATTTTTTCATGTGTCTTTTGGCTGCATAAATATCTTCTTTTGAGAAGTGTCTGTTCATATCCTTCGCCCACTTTTTGACGGGGTTGTTTGTTTTTTTCTTGTAAATTTGTTGGAGTTCATTGTAGATTCTGGATATTAGCCCTTTGTCAGATGAGTAGATTGCAAAAATCTTCTCCCATTCTGTAGGTTGCCTGTTCACTCTGATGGCAGTTTCTTTTGCTGTGCAGAAGCCCTTTAGTTTAATTAGATCCCGTTTGTCAATTTTGGCTTTTGTTGCCATTGCTTTTGGTGTTTTAGACATGAAGTCCTTGCCCATGCCTGTGTCCTGAATGGTATTGCCTAGGTTTTCTTCTAGGGTTTTTGTGGTTTCAGGTCCAACATTTAAGTCTTTAATCCATTTGAATTAATTTTTGTATAAGGTGTAAGGAAGGGATCCAGTTTCAGCTTTCTACATATGGCTAGCCAGTTTTCCCAGCACCATTTATTAAATAGGGAATCCTTTCCCCATTTCTTGTTTTTGTCAGGTTTGTCAAAGATCAGATGGTTGTAGATGTGCGGCATTATTTCTGAGGGCTCTTTTCTGTTCCATTGGTCTATATCTCTGTTTTGGTACCAGTACCATGCTGTTTTGGTTACTGTAGCCTTGTAGTATAGTTTGAAGTCAGGTAGCGTGATGCCTCCAGCTTTCTTCTTTTGGCTTAGGATTGACTTGGCAATGCGGGCTCTTTTTTGGTTCCATATGAACTTTAAAGTAGTTTTTTCCAATTCTGTGAAGAAAGTCATTGTTAGCTTGATGGGGATGGCATTGAATCTATAAATTACCTTGGGCAGTATGGCCATTTTCATGATATTGATTCTTCCTACCCATGAGCATGGAATGTTCTGCCATTTGTTTGTATCCTCTTTTATTTCATTGAGCAGTGGTTTATAGTTCTCCTTGAAGAGGTCCTTCACATCCCTTGTAAGTTGGATTCCTAGGTATTTTATTCTCTTTGAAGCAATTGTGAATGGAAGTTCACTCATGATTTGGCTCTCTGTTTGTCTATTATTGGTGTATAAGAATGCTTGTGATTTTTGCACATTGATTTTGTATCCTGAGACTTTGCTGAAGTTGCTTATCAGCTTAAGGAAATTTTGGTCTGAGACGATGGGGTTTTCTAGATATGCAATCATGTCATCTGCAAACAGGGACAATTTGACTTCCTCTTTTCCTAATTCAATGCCCTTTATTTCCTTCTCCTGCCTGATTGCCCTGGCCAGAACTTCCAACACTATGTTGAATAGGAGTGGTGAGAGAGGGCATCCCTGTCTTGTGCCAGTTTTCAAAGGGAATGCTTCCAGTTTTTGCACATTCAGTATGATATTGGCTGTGGGTTTGTCATAGATAGCTCTTATTATTTTGAGATATGTCCCATCAATACCTAATTTATTGAGAGTTTTTAGCATGAAGGTTGTTGAATTTTGTCAAAGGCCTTTTCTGCATCTATTGAGATAATCATATGGTTTTTATCGTTGGTTCTGTTTATATGCTGGATTACGTTTATTGATTTGTGTATTTTGAACCAGCCTTGCATCCCAGGGATGAAGCCCATTTGATCATGGTAGATAAGCTTTTTGATGTGCTGCTGGATTCGGTTTGCCAGTATTTTATTGAGGATTTTTGCATCGATGTTCATCAGGGATATTGGTCTAAAATTCTCTTTTGTTGTTATGTCTCTGCCAGGCTTTGGTATCAGGATGATGCTGGCCTTATAAAATGAGTTAGGGAGGATTCCCTCTTTTTCTATTGATTGAAATAGTTTCAGAAGGAATGGTACCAGCTCCTCCTTTTACCTCTGGTAGAATTCGGCTGTGAATCCATCTGGTCCTGGACTTTTTTTGGTGGGTAAGCTATTAATTATTGCCTCAATTTCAGAACCTGTTATTGGTCTATTCAGAGATTCAACTTCTTACTGGTATTTTCAATATTATTAATTTCTACTTTAAAAAATTATTTTTGCCTTCCTAGTAATTTTTGTGGGTTTAACTTGTCCTTTCTCTAAACTTACATAATAATTACATCATAGACTTTCATTCTTTTTTGTTTTCTAATATATGTATTTAAATATATAATTTCTCTCTTAGCATTGTTATGTGTATCCTACAACTTCATATACATAATGTTTTTATTCCATTTAAAAAATAATGCCATATTTTTGTTATCATTAATTTCAAAATATCTTCTGATTTCATTGTGATTTTCTCATTTGGATTATTTAGAATTGGATGCTTAATTTACAAAAAGAAAATCTTAGTATTTGGATAATTACTTTATGTTACTAATGACTAGCTTAATTTCAGATAATATATTCTGAATGAGTTTAATCCTTTTAAATGCATTGAGGTTTATTTCATAGCCAAATATAGTTGATATGGGTAAATATTTTAAATGTACTTGAAAGGAATGTGAATTCTTTTTTAATAAGTACGTTGTTCTATATATGTCAGTTAAGTTTGTTAATTGTGTTGTTCAGATTTATGTCATTAATTTGTTGTTGATTGATTTGCAAATGGTGAGAGATGGATGTTAGTCATCCACTTCTATTTCTCCACCTAGTTCTTTCAACTTTTGCTTTTTGTATTTTGAGGCTATGTTATTCATTGTATACAGATATAGAATTTTTATATCTTATAAACTATCTCTATTTTTAGTAATGTTTCTTGCCTTTTTATTTAAAGGCTACTATGATATAAGTATAGCTACACCAGCTTTCCTTTGTTTATTATTACCATGTTATCTTTTCCATTCTTTTACTAACAACTTTTCTGTGGCCTTATTCCTAATACATGGCTTTTAGAAGAAGAATCTGTTTTCTAAAAAATCTAGCCTGAGAATTTTTGTCTTTTATTTTGAGTATTTAGTTTCTTATATTTAATGCGATTTTTATACACTTCAGTTTTTACTTTCTATGTTCCCTTTCTCTCTTTTCTAGCCTTTGGTTGTATTAATCAAATATTTTTATTGTTCCATTTTTTGCTTTATTATATTGGTAATTGTACATTTATATTGTTCTTTGGTGATTATCCTAGAGATTATCGCATATATCTTGAATTCTTTGTAGTCTTAATATAAATTAGTATATTTATCCATTCCCAGATAGGACCTTGGAGCACTTTTACTCTATTTACTTTCCGCCTTTTATGTTACTTTCCCAGGGATTTTAACTCTACATATACTTTTGATACCACAACTCATTATTATTATTGTTCCATATAGTCAATTTTTTTTTGTATTTATCAATCTGTTTGGTTTTGACTCCTTCTGACATTGTATTCTTTTCCTTTGCTTGGGGAGGAGGAGATATTATATTATTTTTCCTTTTGCTGTAAAAATTCTCAGCATTTCTTTCAGTAAACATCTGCTAGTGAGGAATTATCTATTTTTGAAGGGCTAAAAAATCCTCATTTTGCCTTGTTTTTATAACAGATATTGTTACCAGGTATAGATTTCTATGATGACAGTTGTTTTCTTCCCATACTATAAAGGTGTTTTTTCTGTTGCCCTCTGTAGACAAGTCAGCTGTCCATCTTATTGTAGCTCATTTAAAGATAATGCCTTTTTTCTTTGGCTTGCTTTTAAATTTTTATCTTTTGTCTTTGGTTTTAACAGTTTTTTCCTCTAATATGCCTAGATGTCATTTTCTTTGTATTAACTCTACTTTAGTTTGTAGCACTTTTCATTCTGGAGGAAGGATTTTCATCCTGGAGGTGTGTTTACATCTGTAGACGAATTTCATTATGCCCCAGATATCTCTTTTTTTCTCTTTCTCTCTAGAATATCTATTATTCTGTCTTTTAGTTCACTAACTTTTTTTTTTGCATATCCAATCTGCTGTCAAAATCTTCTATTGAGTTCCTTATTTAAAATATTAAATGTTTCACTTTCATAATTTCCATTTGATGTTTCAAAATATTTAGTTTCCAGCTGAAATTCTTCACTTTAATAACTATTTTCTTGAACATGTCCATCACATACATTTTAAAGTCTGTTTCAATAAACGGGCCATCTATAATTCTTTTATTTGCTTTTTGGTTTCATTTCTTGATATGCTTGCCAATCTTTTAAAATAAACTACTTTTTAGAGAACTTTTAGGGTTACAGCAAAATTGAAAAGAAAGAACAGTGAGTTACCATCTTCCGCTTGCCCACACACACACTTGCACAGTGTCCCCCATTGTTAACATCCTACCCCAGTGTTGTACATTTGTTACAATCATTGAATCTACATTAACACATCCTTATCACCCAAAGTCCATGGTTTTCATTAGAGTTCATTCTTGTTGTTGTTTATTCTGTGGGTTTGACAAACATATAATGACTTTTATCCACCTCTATACTATTAGACAGAATAGTCTCACTACTATAAAAATCCTCTGTGCTCCATTTATTTGTTCCTCCCTCCATCCTTACCTCTGGCAGTCACCATCTGATCTATTTATTGTCTCCATAGCTTTGCCAGCCTGCTTAGCAATTTTTGAGTGAATGGAAGAATTTTTGAGTGAATGTAAGAGGAAGTACAGAGGCTATGGATGATGTTGCCTTCTTCTGGAGGGGCATCATTTTTATTTTTTGATAGGCAGCCAGGGTGACACAGATTATTTCAATCCAATCAATGACTAAACTGACTTGAGGCTGAGTTTCAGTTTTGTGAGGTCTAGTCAATTCTTTTTCTCTTTGCCCTGCAGTGTATAGCATATAGCAGCCTCACCGAGGATTTGGGATGCTTCTTTGGAGGTTTCTAAATATTTTTCCTTTCAGCTCTCTGAGACAGCTAACATACCACTCTGCTTTTCAGAAACTTTTTGCATAGTTACACAGAATTCTACTCTGGCAAATTCCTCTGAGGGAAAAAAACACTAAGTATTGGCCATATTTATTTGTATTTTCTTCTTCCTCGATCTTAGCCCCTCAAGCCCTAGATGTCTTCACTCCCATAAGTATTATTTTTGTCCCTGCAGCCCATCAGATTGCCTAAAACTCTGCTGGCTTCTATGTCTCCCCTCCATGTTGTTCTACTTTGGTTTTTAGCCTCCTGTCCAGGACTAGAATCAACAAATGGCTCATGGGGAAATTTGTTTCAGTGAATGTTAGCTCATTCTTCTTCCTTTCCTCTGAGATCATGGCCCATGAAGTCTAGGTTGCTTTAGTATATCTTTGATACCTCTAAGAGAATTTTTGTTTGTCTTTTATTTAGCTTTTTTAGTTGCTTCATCAGAAACATGGTCTGCTGGAAGCTACTCTATCTTAGCACAATGTGACAATGATTTGATAAACACCATTATCCTTTTTTTAAAAAAAAGCTCTACAATGCTGGAAATTTTACATTGTTCCTTTTGTTCTTTGAACTGGTTTATGTCCATATTTTATTCTGCTTCCTCCATAGGAATCCTATGTGATTTAGGATCCTAATGTGGTATAACTTTTTACTAAAATGTCTATGCATCACCCTATAATAGTTTTCTGAAACAAAATGGACACATACAATATTTTTAAAACATTTAACATTCTATTATCAATAGTCTCTAATTCGTTAAGTCTCTAATTCTGTATTTCTCAATGTTACATAGTTGAATTACCTAAGAACATTTAAAAATTGCCGATGTAATTTTTGTCCTAACCCTAGAGATTCTAACTTAATTGATCTGGGGTGCAGCCTTGGCACTGAGATGTCTTTAAATCTCTTCAAGTAGTTATAATGTGAAGGGAATCACTGCTGTAACTGCTAAAAAAATGTTCTTCTGGTTTGAGTAACCATTGCAAATGTGTTGGTACACAGTCACAATAAATGAAATACGTTATATATTTGGATAAAAGATAGTTCACAGACTCTTTTTCAAATTGTACCTTTGTCACTTTAGAAGTGTTCGTAGGTAAGGGTAATACATAAGTATGGATAAGAGGCATGCCTTTTGTTCCAGATAAGTAAGATATGTCTTTTCTTTTCTTTTCTTTCTTTCTTTCTTTTTTTTTTTTTTTTGAGATGGAGTCTTGCTCTGTTGCCCAGGCTGGAGTGCAGTGGTGCAATCTCTGTTCACTGCAACTTCCGCCTCCCAGGCTCAAGTGATTCTCCTGCCTCAGCCTCCCTAGTAGCTGGGATTACAGGCACACTCCACCGCACCCAGCTAATTTTTGTATTTCTAATAGAGATGGGGTTTCACCATGTTGCCCAGGTTGGTCTTGAACTCCTGACAGGTGATTCACCCGCCTCGGCCTCCCAAAGTGCAGGGATTACAGGCGTGAGCCACTGTGCCCGGCTGTCTTTTCTTTCTTTTTCTTTTTTCTTTTTCTTTTTTTTTTTTTAAGGTGAATAAGGGCATTTGTAAAAGGGATAGTAGGAAAGAAGTGGCCATAACCAAAGGCATATTCTCAGGCAGATTAATATTAGGAAAGAATACAAATGCAGCTGGAGGATCTGGAACTTGATAGACTTAAAGCTGTTCTTGCCACATACCCCTAGGAAAATCTTCATGTATCCCCCAAATTAGGTAAGGGGTATATTACTTTGAAAACTCTGTTTTATAATATGTTAGATAATGTTCTTTTTCCCTTCCAAATTAATTGTTCACCCTCTTCCACCCTGCTCTCTGCCTCTGGAGGCTGACCTCAATGAATGCCAGCAGACTTTCTTGCCCTCTGGCTTCTGGTTAGGTTTATTCAATTGGTTAGGGAAGAGATCAGGTCAAGGTGTTCATTTTCTAAGCTCCCTTTCAGCAGGGTTTTCAGTCAGCAGGAAGGCTGACTCCCTTGATTCAAGGTCACAGTTCCTCCTAGGTGGCCATCTCTACCTGACTTTCTCCTTGTTCTTGGTAGTCATTCCATCCACTTCTCCCCTTGAGAAGGTAACACCCCCAGGGTATTATATAATGCTTCTGATTTTCCCATAACATTTGAAAACAGCCTCTGCATGAAATCCTCCTTAAATTATCCTAGTTTGCCTGGCTGGTACAGATAGGAACAATGGTATTCTCGGTGGGACTCAGTGTTTTCCACAGAAGTTAACTGAGATCGGGAATGTTATTGAACAGGATTTCTAGTTCCTCATCCTCTCTAATTAGACAGTACAACAATCTTTTATGAACTAAACCTCAATTTTGCCTGACAAACCTGGTATTATGGCTCTGTCGATACACAGATCCCAGAGAATGAATGCTTCAGCTGACATCATTTCAAACTAATACTGGGAGAACATGGGTATTCTGTTCCGGATCATTTCCTGCCCACATCTTTATCCTTGGCAAATGAGGGATAATTTGACAAACACTAAAGGAGGAATGTCAAACCTATACAATACGTACATTCCTCCATCACTTTTCCCCACTTACCCCTTATTTATATGCAATTCTGTCTTTTATTGTTTGTAAATCATTTCTTGGACGTCAGTCTCCTCTTCTTAGCCAGATTGTAAGTTTCATGGGGACATAAGCCGCAAACTTATATGTCTTTGCAGTTTATACAGCCTGAAAATTTTCTACTCAACTCTCTTCCAGCTTACCTGTCTTTTGCATGTCCAATCTGGTGTCAAGCTCATTTAGTGAGTTCTTAGTTTTAGTTATTACATTTTCTTCATTTATTTATTCAACAAAAATATTGAGCACCCATTCCATGCTAGGGATTGGGTGGATTGTAGGATATAAAAGAGAACAAGGACCCTGACTAGTGTTATTAAATAAGGATAATAACTGATTTTAGAAGACTGGTTGCTTTAAAAGGGTCACATGCCCTCATTCATCTTTCATGAAACCACATCCACCCTCATGGTGGTTGCCAAGGATTTTGGTTGAAAACAATATAAACCAACTTTTGTGTAAGGACTTTGTTGTAGATTACAGACTTAACCAAAAGTTGGAACACTGGGTGATATGGCTTGGATTTGTGTCCCTACCAAAATCTCATGTTGAATTGTAATCCCCAGTGTTGGAGGGGGGCTTGGTTGGAGGTGACTGGATCATGGGAATGGACTTTCCCCTTGCAGTTGTTGTGATAGTGAGTTTTCACAAGCTCTGGTTGTCTAAAAATGTGTGGCATTTCTCTCTCTTCCTTCTGCTTTGGCCATGTAAGATGTACCTCCTTCCTTTTTGCCTTCTACCATGATTACAAGTTTCCTGAGGCCTCCCCAGCCATACTTCCTGTATAGCCTGCAGAATGGTCAGCCAATGAAACCACTTTTCTTTATAAATTACCCAGTCTCAGATATTTCTTTATAGTAGTGTGAGAATGGACTAATACACAGGCAGAAAACAGGTAGAGACATAAGGAGTCTACCAGGTGAGAATTTAGTCAGAGCACACAGGGGGTCACAGCACTGAAGATGAACACCTGGTTGTATGACTGACTCTAATGTCTCTCTAGAAACTGGACATCAGAAGTCAGTACTTCCCCTGATTCAGGAGGATGTTGTCAACTGTCTCTTCTCCTTGGGTCATACTTAGTCCAGACTCTAGAATCCCATGGTGATTATCTGTGGAGCTGAGTTTAGGTCCCTACCAGTTGCTAGGGGTCTGGGAGAACAAGGATATTCAGGAATTCTGAGAAGTGGCATTCCACTTCAAATTATGACTCACATAGTAGAAGATTTCCCCAATATGGGAAGGGGCCCCAAATGCTTAGTAGCCAAAAAGTGCTCATAACTGTCCACCCCATTTATAATAAAGTTTGTGGCCAACACATTGGCAATGGTATTATGCACAGGTAAACTACTTTGAAAGTGCTGAATATTTCAGATGCCCTTGAAGCCAGCATTTTTGGGATAAATATTAATGACTTCTTTAGGAATGGAACTATTCAGAGCAAGATTTTCAGTTCACCCAAATATTTGTAAGGACAGAACAGAGCACAATGAATTCATTCATTTACTTCTGTAAATATGTATTGACCACATGTTAAATGCAAGGAGGTCAAGAGTAGAAAAGACATAGCTGCCCCACCCCCCACCATTCCAGCATCAGCTTCTAGCCTAGTTTTGGGAACTGTGAAATTACAAGGATTTCACTTTACTAAAATTTAACCCAGAACATTCTCTCTCTCTCTTGCTCTTTCTCTCTGTCACTCTGTGTTATTATACTTAGTGTTTCTCTTGTGGAGAAACTAGTATTAGTTTTCTAGTTTACTCGGTAACTAGTAAAATGAAGAAAATGACCCAGTGTCAGAAAATTTACTACCCAAAATAAAAATTTTGGGTAAAAAACATCAAAGAAACCCAAAAGTGAATGCTGGCAACAAAGATAATGATATAAAAGAGAAAATACATCTATAAAGCAAAAAATTGGAAAGATTTTTGCTTTTCTTTTTCCCCTATATTCACCATCCACTGGATGGCAGCTCTAAGGTAACACCATGAGAATGTGGCCATTGCAGCTGCTGAGATAGAGCAGCTAATCTGTCCTGTGCAACTGACTAGGCTCTTCATGATTTCACTTGGACTTTACAACAATCCTATGAAGTAGTAGATATTATTATCCTGACTTTCTAATTAACAAACTGATTCTTCAAGAGGATAAGTACCTAATGTAGTCACACAGTTAGTAAATAACAGAGCAAGGAGTCAAAATCATCTTTACCTGACTCTAAAGCTGAGCTCTTAATGATGGCTCTATACATCTTCTCATTGAAAAGCCAAGGTCTGTGGCATATACATGTCTGGAAGATGTTTGTTGGACTTGAAACAGACATCTTCTCTGCAGGTGGCCCTGGGATCTGGTTTGATAGGAGGTGGTGGTTGGGACATTTTATTTTTGAATTTGCACTTGTAAGCTTGTTATTTGAAAGAATGTCGATGATGCCATTTTTAGCCATTCAACTGGTTACGGAGCATGTGCCAATGAGGCGTTTTGTTGTAGTGTGTCCTGACTGCTGTCTTATATGTCTTTATGTAACTACATGATCATGGTGAAGACACAGCCTAGAGATTTCTGTGACTGCCTGCATCTGACTATAGTGTGTACAAGGTAAACTCTAAGGAAATGGCCTCTTGGTTCTTTCTGTGTAAGATTTCTTTTGCTATGGAGTCACAATCTCCAGTCTTTTATCTTATCAATATTACTGCTTCATTTGCAAGTATCTTAAAAATAAAAGAAAGGCTGCTTCTTGGACTTGACTTTATAGAACACCGCACGTGCCAAAGCCATTCCAAATCTTACCTCATTTTGAAATGCCTTTGTGGCTGGTTTTATTTTTCCTTCCTTTCCCTTATTTTAGATCATTTATAACACATTTTATAGGTCGGCGTCAAACAGCAAGGCTTCAACAGTGTGGGGACTATTGCTGGAAGTCATGCCAGAACACACAACTGTAATCCACTAAGTTAATGGAAATGCAACATTATGGCTGAGATTTTACGTGTGTGGAAATCATGAAAACTCACAAACCCAATTCGCGCAACACAAAGAGAAAAGAGAACTGCCCTCTTTTCTATAAGCAGCTGGCCCGCACGCGGTTAAAGACTCCATTTGCGGGGTAGGAGACCCTTGGTAGTTCACATTTCAATAAATCATAAACATTTACATGCATATTAAACACCAAAGGGCTTGCAACCATTTTGCTATTACCTAGATCTATTGAATTTTCATTGATGCCATCAAAAACCAAAGTGCAAGACAAAAAGCTGTTTTATTAAAAACTTTACATTTGATCAGATCAACATCTCCAATGTCCCCAGGAGAGCAGCAACATAGAAAATAAGGTTTTGTAGTCCCATTTGAGCTCACTGGATGCTCCGTTTTACAACCGCAGCTTTCATCCCGATACAAACCTCACATCTTTTTGCTAAGCAGAGTTAGCAGGGAAAAAAAACTGTAAAGCAATGGTTCTCAACCTTGGCTGCACTGGAATCATCTGGAAAGTTTTATGAATCCCGATGCTTAGGCTGCACCCAGACCAATTACAGCAGAATCCTTGAGGGTGGGACCAGGGCATTCATATTTTCCTAAAACTTCCCATGTGAACATGAACCCATGCTGAGGCACCTTGCCCTTGGTAGTATTTCTTTTTTCCTTTTCCATGCCTCCTTTGTTCTTCATTGGGTTCCCCCACTTGCAGATCTGTCTGGGAAATTCCCCGAACTCCAAAATAATTTTTTACCCCACAAAAACTATTTCACAATAACACGAAAGCTTAATGTTTGCTTTAAAGGAAAATGATCTCCAAGGAGGGAAAATGTTTTAAATGGAACACCTGATTTCCAATACCATCACAGGGCCAATATCAGAGAGGTTGTGATGTGGATTTTTTCTCTCTCTTCAACCTCAAGGCACTTCATGAAAGAAATGGTCTGTTCTGACTATTTCAAGAAAACTCGGTTGCTGTGGATATACATGCGGTATGAATAAGAGCAGCATTTTAAAATATGTGGGCCATGGGCCATTGCATCAGTCACCTGGGCTCCAACTCCAGACACCTGAATGTCTCAAATAGGGGCCTGGTTATTTGCATTCTAATAAGCTCCCCAGTGATGCTTATGCAAGCACATTTTGAAAAGTCTGGAACCAGCACGTTAACTCTCTGACAGCAGTGCCTTCTGTATAGTATCAGTGATATGGTCTGCCTGTGTCCCCACTCAAATTGCATCTTGAACTGTAGTTCCCATAATCCCCATGTGTCATGGGAGGGACCCAGTGGGAGGTAATTGGATCATAGGGGTTTTTACCTCCATGCTGTTCTTATGACCGTGAGTGAATTCCTACAAGATCTGATGGTTTTATAAGGGGCTTTCCCTCCCACCTTTCACTCTGCACTTCTCCTTCCTGCCATCATGTGAAGAAGGATGTATTTGCTTCCCCTTCTGCCATATTGTAAATTTCCTAAGGTTTCCCTAGCCATGCTGTACTGAGTCAATTCAACCTCTTTCCTTTATAAATTACCCAGTATCAGGTATGTTTTTATTAGCAGTGTGAGAACAGACTAATGCAATCATTTCATACAAAATATAAGACAATTAAAGTGGAAGAAATATTGAGTCCTATGCTAATACAATTAATAGGTGGGAATGAATTTTTATAAAGAGTTAAAATACAACAGAAATATCTGTTGTCCATGAAGCTGTTGGGTTTCACTGATGATAAACGTATTTGACTGTGTGTTTTGGTGGATAAATAAAAGGGTCTTCGAGGGGATTTGCATCATCAAATTCCATGCACTAAAATTTCATGCTTCTATGTCAAAATCTATGTTTGGCCAGGCATGATGGCTCACACCTGTAATTTCAGTGCCCTGGGAGGCCAAGGTGAGAGGATCACTTGAGTACAAGAATTTGAGACCAGCCTGGGTAACACAGTTAAACCTCATCTCTACAAAAAATTAACAAAATTAGCCAGGCACAGTGGCACATGCCTGTAGACCCAGCTATTCAGGAGGCTGAGGGAGGAGGATTGCTGAAGTCCAGCAGCTTGAGATTGCAGTGAGCTGTGATCCTATGACTATGCCACTGCACACCAGCCTGGGTGACAGTAAGAAACTCTGTCTCAAAAAAAAAAAAAAAAAAAAAAAAAAGAATCTGTGTTTTGATACAGCCTTGGCTACTCTCTGTGTGACCTTGGACAAATTACCCAATCCCTCAATTATCATTGTCAGATGGGGGCCCCAGTGCCTCACAGACTATGTAAAAATGTAATGAGATGATTTATGTGCTTTATAATCTGTAATGCACTACACAAGTAGTGGCTACGCCTGAAGCTCCCATTGTCCAGACCCACATCATCATGCTGCACAGAGCTCAAGAAAGGTCTAGTCTTAATGAGGGGACACATCAATCAGTTTAGTGGCTGGGCTGGGACAGCAACCCAGGACTACTGGCTGTATCCAGTTTTTTTCCACTCCCCCCCAACATCTAAATTGAAATGTTTGACTCAAATTTGTATCATATTGAGCAAGGAACTCAGAGCAATGATTTGAATTCCTTGTGTGACAGAGAAAAGTAAAATTTAAGTATTTTCAATCCTTCCTTTCTCATGTCTTCTAAAGAGAAGGGACACTTTTTCAAGTTAGGTACCTGAAGTTTGTTCTGCTAAAGAAAGAGGTAATAGGTAGAGAGAGTGGGAAGCGCTGAGAAGGCCAAACTGTGCTACAGGAGAAAAGGCTAAGAGCAAAAACCAAGATGAGAGGTAAGAGGAACTAAGCAGAAGAGGGCAAGGAGGATGAGGAGATAGGAGAAGCAGGTGGAGACGGGGGAAGGCAGTGGGCACTGCCTCAAGGAGTGGAATTCCTGGAGGGAAAGAGATGTTCAGGGAGGGTTTTTAGGAAACTTCGCTTTCCAAAGATGCACAACACAGTCTCTTTCTTCTCTCTGCAAGGCACCTTCAGGGATGACCTGCATTGCCTTTAAGTGCTTTTAGTGTCCAATTTGGGTTTACTTGTATGTTTGTTTCTCAGAATGCATTGGCGTATTGAGTTTGGCATAAGAAAAGAGTAAAAGTTTAAGATAGTTACATCTATTTAGGTAAATGTTTTATCACCATTTTTCTCTTTGAGGTTTAAAAAAAATTACCGAAGGTAAATGAACCACCATTCAAAACAAAATACACATAAATTCGCACACAGTAAAGGCTTATTAAGTGGGTCAGGCCTTGTCTTTACTTCTGGATTTCCCCCCTCCCCCGCAGGATAAGGAGACAACCCTAGGCTAGGCCCGCAGAGCAAACGGAGTTTTGCAATTCCTTTGTCTGTTAAATCTGTGGTTCCAGCATGAGGCATTCTGAGACTTTCCGTGCTCATCCAGTGTCACAATTTTCTATAACTGTTCCCATCTCACTGCCTTTCTGCCTCATGACCATCTATATCCTGATTGTTTTGCATCACTGCTGTGGTTTGAAAACTGGTGTCCCCTCCAAAATTTATATTGAAACTTAATTCCCACTGTGGCAGTATTAAGAGGTAGGGCCTGTATTAATCTATTATCACACTGCTATAAAGAACTGGTGGAGACTGAGTGATTTATAAAGAAAAGAGGTTTAATTGACTCACAGTTCCACAGGCTGAGGCATGGCTGGGGAAGCCTTAGGAAACTTACAATCATAGCAGAAGGGCGGAGGGGAAGCAAGCACATCTTCCCATGGCAGCAGGAGAGAGGGAGAGAGAGAAAGAGAAGAAGAAGGAGAAGGAGGAGGAGGAGGAGGAGCTACACACTTTCAAACAACCAGATCTCATGAGAACTCACTCACTATCATGAGAACAGCAAGGAGGATATCCGCCCCCATGATCCAATCACCTCTACCAGGTCCCTCCCTCAACATTAAGGATTACAATTCAACATGAGATTTGTATGGGGACACAGAGCCAAGCCATATCAGGGCCTTTTGGGAAGTGACTAAGTTGTGAGGGCTCTTGCCTCATGAATGGATTAATGCCCTTATAGAAGAGGCTTCAGAGAGAATGTGCCCTTTCATGGCCCTCTGCCTTCTGCCATGTAGGGATGCAACAAGATGGCCCTCACCATATATCAAATGCTGACACCTTGATCCTGAACTTCCCAGCCTCCAGGACTGTGAGAAATAAATTTCTCTTTATAAATTACCTAGTTTGAAGTATTTTGTCATAGCAGCACAAATGAACTAAGACAGAAATTGGTACCAAAGAGGTGGAGTGTTGCTTTAATACCTGAAAATGCAGAAGCACTTTTGGAACTCGGTAATGGGTAGAGGCTAGAATGGTTTTGAAATAAATGCCAGAAAAAAACCTATATTACCACTAATAGAGCATTAAGGGCAATTCTGGTGAGGGCTCAGAAGAAGAGAGCTATGGAGAGAGCCTAAATCTTGGAGATTATCTAAGATGTGAACAGAAATATTGGTAGAAATGTAGACAGTGAAAGCCATTTTGATGAAGTCTTAGACAAAAATGAGGAATATATTATTGAAAGCTGGAGGGAAGGCCATCCTTGTTACAAAGTGACGAAGAACTCGGTTAAATTGTGTCCATGTCCTACTGTTTTATGAAATGCAGAATTTGAGAGCTATGAACTAGGATATTTGACAGAAGTAATCTCTAAGCAGAGTGTTCAGGGCACTGCATGACTTCTCTTAACTGCTTGTAGTAAAATGTGAGAAGAGAAAAACAAGTTCAAGATGGAATTTATAATCAAAAGGAAAAGTGAACGTAAACATTCTGGAAAATTCCCAGCTTGGCCATGTAAAGAATAAAAAATTGCTTAGAAGAGAAAACCAAGGGTGTGGCCAAGTGACCTTTTGATGAGGAGATTAGTGTGGCTAGAAGGAAGCCAGATGCTATTCATTAAGAAAATTGGAGAATAACCCCAAAGGCATTTCAGAGATAATCAATGCTGCTACTCTCATCGCAGGCCTACAGCACTAGGACCACCTTAAAGACAGGACCCTTTCAAGGGAGGAAGGGACCCAGGGCTTCCTCACGTCTCTTCTTCCTGCATTCCAGTGCAGCACTCCTCTCTCCACTTCCCCCACCCTGTCACCGCACTGCTGGGGCTCCGGTGAGCTGAGGTGCAGCACAGGCTGTCCCCCGGAGGGCACATCTGCAAACCTTGGCAGTGTCCACATGGTGCTAACTCTGCAGGTGCTCAGAGTGCATGAGCTGTGCAGGCATGGCTACCTCTACCTGGATTTCATAGGATGCTTCAGAGAGTCGCAGGGCCCTGGCAAAGAATTGCCACAGGGTCAGAGGCATGTGAACCAGGGCAACTCCATTCTTGAATAGGAGCTGGGTAAAATGAGGCTGAGACCTACTGGGCTGCATTCCCAAATGGTTAAGGCATTCTAAGTCACAGAATGAGATAGGAGGTCATCACATGATACAGGTCATAAAGACCTTGCTGATAATACAGGTTGCAGTAAAGAAGCTGGCTAAAACTCACCAAAACCAAGATGGCTATGACAGTGACCTCTGGTCGTCCTCACTGCTACACTTCCACCAGTGCCATGACAGTTTACAAATGCCATGGCAATGTCAGGAAGTGACTCTATATGGTCTAAAAAGGGGAGACATGAATAACCCACCCTTTGTTTAGCATATCATCAAGAAATAACCATAAAAATGGGCAACTAGCAGCCCTCGGGGCTGCTCTGTCTATGGAGTGTCCATTCTTTTATTCTTTTACTTTCTTAATAAACTTGCTTTCACTTTACTGTATGGACTCTCCCTGAATTATTTCTTGTGTGAGATCAAAGAACCCTCTCTGGGTCTGGATCCGAACCCCTTTCCTGCAACAACAGGGGTAGGGACACTGCAGCGAACCCTCAAAAGGGCAATGCCTCATGGAATTGTATGGGGCAGGGCTACTCCTGAGATGCTAGATCTGTAAAGCAACCATCATGCAACTCCCCACCCTGGGGAGAGCCACAGACACTCAACGCCAGCACATGAGAGCTGCAGTATGGGCTGTGCCCAGTAACACCATGCAGGTGGAGTCCCTGAAGCCTGGGGGACCCAAACTTCACCCTAGTGTGTCTGGAAGGTGCAATCTGGAGTCAATAAAGATTGTTCTCAAGCTTCAAAGTTTAATGTTGTGTGCCTTGTTGGATTTTGGACTTACTTGGGAAGCTATTACTCCTCTCTTTTTGCGTATTTCTCCCTTTTGGAATGGGAATGTCTATCCTATGCCTATCCCATCATTGTATTTTGGAAGCACATATTGTTTGATTTCACAGGCTCACAGCTGGAGAGTAATTTGCTTCAGGATGAAGAGTACCTTGAATCTCACCCATATCTGATTTAGATGAGGTTCTAGAGTTTAGACATTTGAGTTGATACTGGAAACAGTTAAGACTTTGGGGGCAATTTGAATGGAATGAATGTACTTTGTAGGTAACAAGGTTATGGATTTCTGGGGGGCCAGGGGTGGAATGCCATGGTTCAAATGATGATGTCACCTCCAAAATTTATGTTCAACCTTAGTCCCCATTGTGATGCTATTTAGAGGTAGGGCCTTGGGGAAGTAATTAAATAATAAAGACTCCACTCTCATGAATGGATTAATGCCTTTATAAAAGAGGCTTTGGAGAGAATGTGCCCTTTTCCTGCCCTTTGTCTTTTGCCATGTGAGTGAGGATGCTGCAAGAGGGCCCTCACCAGACACAAAATGTCAGCACCTTGATCATGGCCTCCTCTGACTCCAGAAATGCAAAAAATTAATTTCTATTCTTTATAAATTACCCAGTCTCAGGATTTTGTGATAGCAGCAAAAGCAACCTACGGCAATCATAGTCCATTTTTAATCCGTATCATACTACAGTTTTCATCTGTACCCAGTCTCTTTGGTTTCCGATCCTTGGCCCAGTTTTCCATTTATAATATGTAGTTTGTACTAGTTTCTCAAACTCATTTCCTCACCTTCATCCCAAGGACTAACTTCTGGCTTTCACCGTTCTCTGTGGCTCCTGTGCACCTCTTTGACTTCCTTGCTCTCAAACCTCTCTGGCAACACCTTCTGCCATTCCAACTCCCCACCAGGCCTTATTTCCAAGACCAAGACCCAGAAGTTAGCTAACAGCTCTTGTTAACCTCACTCCTACCCCAAAAGCACCAAGGAAAAGGTCAATGTCCCTTTGAAAACAAGGCTACAGGGTATTGTATTCCCTATCCATACTTTAATATCTCAAGGACTAGACTCGCGTGTTAAATGTAGGCATCTACACACCTGACTGGCATAACCATATCTGTTGTAGTTCTGAGGCAGTAATGAGTAAACACACACACCCCAGAAAACTACTCCTGCGCCTCCACACTTACGTATGTGTGTGTGTTCATGCTAGTGCGTGACTCTATCTAGACCTCTACATTTGGTGTTTATTAATTTTTAAGATATTTTAATTAGAAAACAACACATGTGTTCTACGCTATTTTCATTTGTTGATAAATTCTTTAATTCTTAACCAATTCTATTCAAGCTTAGCAAAGAAGAACAAAGATACATTCTGTATTCTTAAAACCCCATCTGTTTTCTCATGTATCAAAATAGAAGAGAATAAGAAGAGGAAAACCTCACCTGGACTATGCCGTTTTTCCCATGAGATGATCTTGGAGGTCACATTCTTTTCACCATTATTTCCAAGTTGCCCTCTGAGGGCAGAAGCATAATGCAGTTGAGCTCCAAAGCTAATTTGAGCAAAACTATTTATAGTCTGAATAAAATATTTTTATAGACTTAAGTAGCATTAAAATCAACAGCAAAACAGCTGTATTTTTGTGAGAAATAAGAAGTGAGTCTACAGAACTGTATCGTGGATGCTCTTTACTACCTTTTAAAATTAGCACATTTTCACCATTAGCACTACTACATTCTTTCTTAGACGACCAGCCCCACATTTCAGCTCTGCCTCTTCACTAGGGAGCACATGAGGGGGATGCCAAAGAGAGATAATTGCAAAAACATGGCGCTTTATGCTTCAGTTGCCAGCTTTTCCCACCCCAAATAATACACTGGAATCTCAAGTCATGTGTAATTCTTTCTGAAGAAAGCATAGAACTATTTTGAAGGAAAATGCATAAAGAAAAAGTGATTTGTTTGAAGGGAGAAAAATGCTACTTTTTCCCGTTGTCAGGATTATCAAACTGTTTGTTTTTAACTGCTTTTATCCCCGTGTGAGATAAAGAGAAGTCAAAATGAATTCATTAAAGTCACGTGAGCTTATTTTTCAGGAGATGGGTATTAATATTTTATTTTAGAGTCTCTGTCATTCAATCTGACAGGTGTGGCCAGGCAGGGTTGCTGAAACCAACTCATCCCCACTCTGGTCTCATTTCCTCTCCTTGGATAACAGTCACAGAAGCCACATGCCAATGTGCTGAGAGTCACATTTTCCATCAGCAGCATTTTGCTATTTGGAAAGTCCTTAAGCAGTTGTGCCGGCTGCCTTGGAGTTACCTGCAATATGGCTCATGTGTTCCTCACAGACCGCCTGGGAAGCTTTGTTAGTCTCAGAGGCATTTATTAAATGTTTAAAACAAAGGCAAGTTACCTTTGTCTGTCAAATCTGTTTTTGAACATGGTCTTGAGTTACTCTGCGTTTCAGGATAGTGCAATAATTCTGTGACGATAAATGAGAATTGGATTTGAAAACGAAGCACCAGTTGTTCCTACTACTGTCCTTTTCTGCAGAAGGAGATCTGTGTTGTGTAATTCAGCTTTCATATGTGCCTCTTCTGGCACCTGTTTTTGCATGAGGATATAGAGTACACAGAAATTTATTGTTTGCCTAGAAATTTCTTATGTTCACAAGTTGATTGCTGCTCAATCTGTGGCTCAATGGATGACTATGAAGTGTAAAAATAGTTAAAAACATTTCTAAACATTTAGTTTCATTGTTTTGTTTCATTAGTTCAATGTTCACAGCAATAAATGGTTCTTAAAACATCTCTGAAAAGTCCAGTGGAAAACAGAAAATATGAAGGAGGAAATGACCCTTTCTAGCAGAGGGTAGGTGCAGAAGCTCAAACCTCCCTTTCTTTTCCTGATTCCATTCGTCAGTGCTCTGCAGAAGTGGCCCCTAGAGAAAAGTTTCTCTACACATGTCTTGGTGATAGTGTGGAAGCTCAGCTAAGGTACACCCAATCTTCAAAGTCCTGAGTAAAATAATGAGAATCTCTTCACCACTTGGCTAAAAATTTATTCTCCAGGAAGAATCTAAACATTGGGAAAACAAATTAATTAACAGCAGACAATGAAACATCCCCCAGGTTGGTACTTCGTTACTGAAATCAGTCCCCGAGCCATCCTGAAGACTCTGGAAGGGATAAACAGGGGACTGGTTCAAATTTCTACCGTTTCTGGCATGATCTCCCACAAACCTATCAAGGAATTTCCCTTTAATCAAGTGTTCACATAAAAGACAACAAATAAAAAATCTTAAAGAAAATTAGAAAGGGAAAAATTTACAAAGAATTATCAAGAATGTTTGGTGTATTATTGGTAAGATGCATTACCTGTGTGGGAAGTAGGACTTACCAGAGAGAACCTATTGATCAGTTCTATTTATCCAATAGCTGTGACTGCTCAAAATGCTGAGGTACCACCCCAGCCACCTGCAACAAAGTCTGAGGCCAGAGGTGGCCAAATTGCCCAAGTGTGCAGTGATTTCAATGTACTAGGTACATTGCATTGTACCTGGGACAGTGGAATGTAGAGAAGACCTCTATTAGACATGCCCTCTATCTTTCCTAATTCAGCAGTGATTTTATGAATTAGATAATTGATTTTCCTCTGCAGATGTTTGCAAGTTTTAAGCAATTAGTCTCAATATTTGCATGAACCTTTATTTATCTTAGAGGAAGGTAATTTGGTGCTATCTGTCTTTGAAATTGTTTTCTAGTCCTTTTCCACTTGTTTCCCTAGGCACCGACTGAAGACAAAAGAAACTTCTCCAGTGGATGAAGTTGTCCGCTGGCATCCACAGCAATGATGTCCTTGCTTCCCAAAGTGTACACATTGTTTGCTAGTGAGTGAGCTGACTGGGTTGTGCCATCTTTCCTGCCCCCACACATGAAGACACATTCCTTTTGCTCTCTAAATAACCTTGAAACAGGCTAAGCTTTCCAGAGCTCATTTATAGAAATCCTCGATTTATGCAAACACAGTATCATGCAAAAGAATTAAAAAGGAGAAACAGAATTTGAAATAGTAGTGCAAGGGAAGAGCTCAATGAGGACCACCCTGGAGATGGAGAAAAGATCCAAAGTCTGTTTCCAATTATGAGCTTCTAGGAGGAGAATGAGTTATATTTAAAGTAGTTCCAAACCAGGTGAGGATGGAGAGGTCATCTGTGTTGAAGAGGGGTGGGGCAGCATGGCTGGTGGCAAGTTGTGACCCTTGTTTATAACTAAAATTAGATAAGTTTGCATACAAACAAAAAACAATGTGCCTTTGGATATAGTGTCTACAGTTGGGCAGACAGAATGGGGAAATAGAGAAAGGCTTCACTTAGGATGGAGAGAGGGTCAGACCGGTGTTATTAAAACATTTGGAGTGGGAAATCCTGGCTTTGTGTCTGAGCTCTGCCAGGTTGTAGGTACTTTGGGTAATCCATTTCAACTCTGTGGGTCACAGCTTAGTTATCTTTCAGTGGTGGTATTAGCCAGTGATTCTCAAACTTTTTGATCTAAGGATGGCTTAACACTCTTAAAAACTGTTGAGACTCCAAAGAGTTTTTGTTTCTGTGGAATCTATGTGTTGATAATTATATTAGAAATTAAAATGATGAATTTAAATAAAAATATGTATTAATTTATTTATAATAACAGTAATAAGCACTTTTCATATTAACATAAGATATATTTAAGAAAATTAACTATATTTTCCAGAACAAAAAACAGTTTGGTGAAAATGAGAGACAGGACTAGCTGGATTTCCTAGGCCGACTAAGAATTCCTAAGCCTGGTTGGGGAAGGTGACCACACTCACCTTTAAACAGGGGCTTGTAACTCAGCTCACACCTGACCAATCAGGTAGTAAAGAGGGCTCACTAAAATACCAATTAGGCTAAAATCAGGAGGTAAAGAAATAGTCAAATCATCTATCATCTGAGAGCATGGGGTGAGGGATGATGATTGGGATATAAACCCCAGGCATTCAAGCCGGGAGTGGGCAAACCTCTTTGGGTTCCCTCCCATTGTATGGGATCTCTGTTTTCACTCTATTAAATCTTGCAACTGCACACTCTTCTGGTCCGTGAATGTTCCGGCTCGAGCTGAGCTTTTGCTCATCATCCACTGCTGTTCACCATCGTGGCAGACCCGCCATTGACTTCTACCCCTCCAGATCCGACAGGGTGTCCACTGCGTTTCTGATCCAGCAAGGCGCCCATTGCCCATTGCCCATTGCCGCTCCCGTTTGGGCTAGAGGCTCGCCATTGTTCCTGCATGGCTAAGTGCCCGGGTTCATCCTAATCGAGCTGAACACTAGTGGCTGGGTTCCACTGTTCTCTTCCGTGACCCACAGCTACTAATAGAGCTATAACACTCACTGCATGGCCCAAGGTTCCATTCCTTGGAATCTGTAAGGCCAAGAACCCCAGGTCAGAGAACAAAAGGCTTGCTGCCATGTTGGGAGTGGCCGCCACCATCTTGGGAGTGGCCCACCGCCATCTTGGGAGCTCTAAGAACAAAGACCCACCCAATAACAAAAAGATTAATGTTGGTTTGCATTTTTGCAAATCTCTGTAATGCAGCTAGATTCTCATATCTGCTTCTGTAGATTGTGTGTTACAATATCACATATCATGTAGTCTCTGGAAAACTCCACTGTATAAGATAAAGAATGAATAAGTGAAACAATAACTAAGTATTATGAAAATCGTTTTGACCTTGCAGACTCCCAGAAAGGGTCTTGGGAATGGGAAAGCTTACATTTACATTCCCAAGGCATAATAATATCACTCTCTTCATTTTGTGCCTGTAAGATCCTCACAAAGTCTTTGGTCATTATGCACCTATTCCTTTATCTGTGATCTTCAGACCCTTGGCAAAAGGGGAAATATATTAGAGTCCTAAACTTCCCCCTCTATCCTCCTTCATCCTTCAAATAATGCAGTGGAATCTTCCCAGGACACCTCAGGCAACTCTAGGCCCCAGTACCACCTGGTATCACCCTATCCATTTCTTATTCTGGAAGCTAGTCCCTCAGAACGGACAGGCAGAAGAGGTAACTCTGACCTGACTTCAGCAATGCTCCTGAGCTGAGGGCATTATTTCATCACTTTACTCTGACCCTGATGTAGTGGAGAAACATGGGCTTTTGAATTGGACAGGATTGGACTGAATTCCAATTCTTGATTTATGTGACTTGGGCACGTTAATTAATATCTTTGACACCCATTTTTCTTGTTTGCAAGAGGTTAATATATATGGTTGCATAAGGATTAAATGTGGTACTATATGCAGTGCTTGTGAGACTCACGGAAGGACTTAAAAATGATAATCATTGCCAGGCACGGTGGCTCACGCCTGTAATCCCAGCACTTTGGGAGGCTGAGGTAGGTGGATCACCTGAGGTTGGGAAGTTTGAGACCAGTCTGACCAACAAGGAGAAACCCCATCTCTACTAAAAAAAAAACACACAAACAAACAACCAAAAAAAAAAAAAAAAAAGAACCAATTAGCCAGGTGTGGTCGCACATGCCTGTAATTCCAGCTACTCGGGAGGCTGAAGCAGGAGAATTGCTTGAACCTGGGAGGTGGAGATTGTGGTGAGCTGAGATTGTGCCATTGCACTCCAGCCTAGGCAACAACAGTGAAACTCCTTCTTGAAAAAAAAAGATAATCATTATTATTAGAAAAGAGTATCCATAAGCCCTGGAGAATAAATAATGAAGAGAACTATTTGAGAGGGACATACTCCCCACCATTCATTTGTGCCTGTGTGAGAAGTTCCAGTAGATCAGTGGTACTTAATCATTTTTGCTTTTAGGAGCCCTTTATGTTCTTAACAATTCTTAAAAACAAAAAGAACTCTTGTTAATGTGGGTTCAATCTACAATGTTTACCATAATAGAATTTTTCCTTTTTTGATTTTTAAATTAATATATGATTTAAATACAGTGAATTTTACCTTTCTAAGTTTTATAATTAAGTCTATGATCTATTTTCAAGTTAATATGGTAGAGTACAAAATATAAATAGAAGTTCATTTACACAGAGACAGGGTATCAGAAATGTGCAGACAGCTCCCTCAAGTCTTCATCTGAGTATTAATGAGCATACATATAAAAGAATACAACACTGAGAAAGAACTACCTGAAAGGAACACCCAGAACCATTCATGAGACTCACACCTGGCTGGCAGTAGTTTGTGTCCCCATGAGTCAAAGTGGAAAAATAATTCTGTAATATGTAGGCACTGGGTACTCAGAAGTATATAGCTTCAGTACTAAGGAAAAATTAGCCCTAGACTAAAAGTTCCTTTGATCTCCCTTAAAAAAAAGATGAAAAGTACACCTCAAAAGGGTTAAGCTATTTACAAGAAACTTAACTGCATCTCAGAACAAAGCTTAAAAATATTTTAAGTTATATTAGTTATTTAAAAATATTATGTTATATTAAGTTAATATAACTTAAAATATTATAAAATATTATAAAATTTATTATTTAATTTACTTATTAAAATAATATAAAATATTATACAATATTTAAGTTATATCATATATTATATCCAGCACCCAACAAGATAAGATTCACAATGTTTATATCTAATCAAAAGTGACTAGGCATACAATGAAGCAGTATGATATAATTCATACTGAAAATGACAGTATATTTTTCATCAAAAATAATCCAATAGCTGAAAAAATATATCTTTTAAAATGAAGACAAAATTAATGCTTTTGCAGACATTCAAAAACTGAAAATATTCATTATTTATTAGCATACCTGATTTGCAGGAAATGATAAAGGCCATCAGGCAGAGAGAAAATAATACTGGAGGGAAATATGTATCTACATGCAGGAATGAAGGTCACTGGATATGGTTTTTTGCAACTGCTTTTGAGGACTAAGTCATAAATTCTTTGCCAAGTCCAATTTCTAGACACATACTTCCTAGGTTTTGTTCTAGGATTTTCATAGTCTGAGGTCTTACATTTAAGTGTTTAATCCCATCTTGAGTTAATTTCTGCATTTGTAGGGGTTCAGTTTCAGTCTTCTGCATATGGCTAGCCAGTTTTCCCAGAACTATTTATTGACCAGGGGATCCTTTTCCTGTTGTTTTTTTATGGGTTGATTTTGTCAAAGATCAGATGCCTGTAGGCACATGACTTTATTTTGGGATTCTCTAGACTGTTCCATTGCTCTGTCTATTTTTGTATCAGTGCCATGCTGTTCTGGTTACTGTAGCCTTACAGTATGGTTTGAAATTTGATAATGTGAAGCCTCTGGCTCTGTTCTTTTTGTTTGGGATTACTTTGTCTATTCATGCTCTTTTTTGGTTCCATATGAATGAATTTTAGAATAGTTTTATTTTTAAGTCTGTGAAAAAATGATGTAGGTAATTGGATAGAAGTAGCATGGAAACTGTAGATTGCTCTGGGCAGTATGGTCATTTCAAGGATATTGATTCTTCCAATCTATGAGCATGGAATATTTTTCCATTTTTTTGGTGTCATCTATGATTTCTGTCAGCCGTGTTTTGTAGTTCTCCTTGTAAAGATCTTTCAACTCCTTGGTTAGCTATATAAGGTATTTTATTTTTTTGTGGCTATTGTAAATGGGATTATGTTCTTGATTTTGCTCACAGCCTGTATGTTATTGGTGTACAGAAAAACTGATTTTTTTATGTTGATTTTGTATCTTGAAATGTTACTAAAGTTGTTTATGAGGTCTAGGTGCCCTTTGGTGGAGGCTTCAGGGTTTTTAGGTAAATAATCATATCATCAACAAAGAGAGATAATTTGACTTCCTCTTTTCCTACTTAGATGGCTTTTATTTATTTCTCTTGCCTGATTGCTCTGGGTAGGACTTCCAGTACTATGTTGAATAGAAGTGGTGAGAGTGGACATTCTTTTTGTGTTCCAGTTGTTAGGGGAAATGCTTCCAGCTTTTTCCCAGTCAGTATGATGTTGACTGTGGGTTTGTCATCAATGACTCTTATTATTTTGAGGTATGTTCCCTCAATGCCTAATTTGTTGAGTTTTTTTTTTTTTTATCATGAAGGGCCGTTGAATTTTTATTGAATGCTTTTTGGCATCTATTGAGTTGATCATATCTTTTTTGTTTTTATTTGTGTTTATGTTGTGAATCATATTTATTGAGTTGTGTATGTTGAGCTAACTTTGCATCCAGGAATGAAGCCTTCTTGATCATGGTGAAATAACTTTTTGATATGCTACTGGATTTGATTTGCTCATATTTTGTGGAGGATTTTATTAGGATTATTGGGCTGCAGTTTTCTTTTTTTGGTGTCTCTTTCACTGATTTTGGTATTAGGATGATACTGGTTTCGTAGAATGGGTTAGGGAGTGATATGGTTTGGCTGTGTCCCCACCCAAATCGCATCTTGAATTGTAGCTCACATAATTTCCATGTGTTGTGGAAGGAACCCAGTGGAAGATAATTGAATCATGGCAGTGGTTTCCCCCATACTGTTCTTTTGGTAGTGAATAAGTCTCATGAGATCTGATGGTTTCATAAGAGGAAACCTCTTTTGCTTGGTTTGTCATTCTCTCTCATGACTGCTGCCATGTAAGACATGCCTTTTGCCTTCTGCCATGATTGTGAGGCCTCCCCAGCCACATGGAACTGTGAGTCCATTAAACCTCTTTTTCTTTATAAATTACCCAGTCTCCGGTATGTCTTTATCAGCAGTGTAAAAATGGACTAATACAGAAAGGAATTCTTCCTCCTTGATGTTTTGGAATAGTTTCAGTAGACTTGGTACCGGCTTTTCACTGGTAGAATTTGCCTATTAATCCATCTAATCTAGAGCTTTTTTGTTTGGTAGGTTTTTTTATTACTGATTCAATTTCATAACCATTCTTAATCTGTCTAGGGTTTCAATTTTTTCCTATTCCGTCATGTGAGACTGTGTGTTTCCATGATTATATTCATTTTCTCTAGATTTTCCAGTTTGCGCACATAGAAGTATTCATAATAGTCTCTGAGGATCTTTTGAATTTCTCTGGGATCATTTGTAATCTGTTCTTTGTCATTTCTGGTTGTACTCCTTTGGATCTTCTCGTTTTTTGTTTCTTTGTTAATCTAGCTAGTGGTCTATCAATCTTGTTTTTCCTTTCAAATAACTAACTTTTTATTTGGTTGATACTTTGTATGATTTTTTGAGTCTTGATTTTGTTTTGTTTGACTCTGATTTTAGTTATTTCTTTTCTTCTGCTAGCTTTGGAATTATTCTTTCTTTTCTAGTTCCTTGCATATGATATTAGACTGTTAATGTGAGATCTTTCTATCTTCTTGATGTAGGTTTTTAACTTTATAGACTTTCCTCTTAACACTGCTTTAGATACATCCTAGAGGTTTTGGTATGTAGTGTCTCTATCTTCATTTATTTCAAAGAATTTTTAAATTTCTGCCTTATTTTTTGTGTATCCAAAAGTCATTCAGGAGCAAGTTGTTTAGTTTCCATGTAATTGTGTGGCTTTGAGAATTCTTTTATTGTTGGTTTCTATTTTAATTCCACTGTGGTTGGAGAATATGCTTGTTAAAATTTCAATTTTTTTGAATTTATTGAGACTTTTTTATGAATGAATATGTGGTTGATCTTAGAGTATGTTTCATGTGCAGATAAGAATAATTTATATTCTGTGGTTGTTGGGTGGAATATTCTTTATATATTTATAAGGTCCTATTGGTTAAGTGTTCAATTTTTAAGTCCAGAATTTCTTTGTTAGTTTTATAACTTGATGATCTGTCTAATGCTGTCAGTGGGGTATTGAAGTTCCTCACTGTTATTGTGTGACTAAGTCTCTTCCTAGGTTTAGAAGTAATTGTTTTATAAACCTGGGAGCTCCAATGTTGGGTGCATATATACTTAGGGTAAGTAAGTCTTCTTGTTGAATTGAACTATTTATCATTGTGTAATTCCCTTTTTTACCATTGTTGGTTTAAAGTATGTTTTATCTAATACAAGAATAGTGACTCTTGCTCTTTTTTTTTTTTTTTTTTTGAGATCTTGCTCTGTCTCCCAGGCTGAGTACAGTGGCGGGATCTCGGCTCACTGCAAGCTCGACCTCCTGGGTTCACGTCATTCTCCTGCCTCAGCCTCCCGAATAGCTGGGACTACAGGCGCCCACCACCATGCTTGGCTAATTTTTTGTATTTTTAGTAGAGACTGGGTTTCACCATGTTAGCCAGGATGGCCTTGATCTCCTGACCTCATGATTTGCCCCCCTCGGCCTCCCAAAGTGCTGGGATTACAGGTGTGAGCCACTGCCCCCAGGCGACTCTTGTTCTTTTTTTGTTTTTCATTTTCATGACAGATCTTTCTTAATCTCTTTACTTTGAGCTTTTGGGTGTCATTGCATGTGAGATGGGTCTCTCGAAGACAGCAGAAGGTTCTGTCTTGCTTTATTTCAATCCAGTTTGCCACTTTGTGTCTTAAGTGGTGTGTTTAGACTGTTTACATTCAAGATTAATATTTATATGTGTGGTTTTGTTCCTGTCATGGTGTTGTCACCATGTTGCTTTGTAGACTTGATTGTGTAGTTGCTTTATAAGGTCTGTGGGCTGTGGTAGCAGGTGTCCTTTTTTCATTTCTATGTTTAAAACTCCCTTAAGCATCTCTTGTAAGGCCTGTCTAGTGGTAATGAACTCTCTTAGCAATTGCTTATCTGGGAAATATTTAATTTCTCCTTTGCTTATGAAGCCTAATTTGGCAGGATATGAAATTCTTCGTTGAAATGTTGTTCTCTTTAATAATGCTAAAAATAGACCCTGATCTCTTCTGTCTTATAAGGTTTCTGCTGAGAAGTTTGCTGTTAAGCTGATGGGATTCCATTTGTAGGTAACATGACCCTTTTCTCTAGCTGCCTTTAAGATTTTTTTTCCCCCATTGACCTTGGAAAGCCTGATACCTATGTGCCTCAGGATGGTCATCTTGCATAGTATCTTGCAGGAGTTCTCTGAACTTATTGAATCTGCATGTCAACCTCTCCGGTAATATTGGGGACACTTTTGTGGATTATATTCTCAAATATGTTCTGCAGGTTGTTTATTCTCTCTTCTTCTCTTTCAGGTATGCCATTGAGTTGTGGATTTGGTTCACTTTATATAATCCCGCTTTGTCCATATTAAAATTTATTAGGTTTTCTTTATTTTTGTCTGGCTTGATTGATTCGGAGGACTGATCCTTGAGCTCTGAAATTCTTTCCTCTGTTTGGTCTAGCCTACTGTTAAGGCTTCAAATTATATTTTGAAATTCCTCTAGTGAATTTTAAAATTCTAGACATTCAGTTTGGTTGTTTCTTAATATATCTATGCCATCTTTCAAATCTAGGATTGTGTTTCTGGTTTCACTGGATTGGATTTCCACTTTCTCTTAGATCTTGTTGAGTTTCCTCACTATCTAGGTTCTGAATTCTATATCTGTCATTTCAGACATTTCAATCTCATTAGGATCCATTGCTAGGAAGCTAGTGTGATCCTTTGGATGTAATGAAATGCTCTAGCTTTTTGAATTGCCAGATGAACTTATGGTTTTTAACAAATACATGACAGATAGATAGATGGATAAATAGACATTAGTTTGTATACATACATATATTTCTATACTCTAGGATCTGGAAACAGTGGTATTCCCACAGCAATGAGGACACCCAGCACTCAGAGATCTTGATTTCTAAATACCATCTTCAGTAAAAGGAACTAGGCTTCTTGGGAGAACTGGTTGATCCAGGGCTGGAGCAGGAAAAGTACAAAATGAGGCTGAAACATTTTGTGGTATCAGATAGTAAGAAAGTCTCAGAGGAACAAATGAGCCAATAAGAAAAACTTCCAATGGCCAAAGATGGAACAATTGGAGCAATAATGTAATTTATGATAATATATGCAATCTAAAGAATAAGATAAATGTCCATGACTCCACATTGATATGTTAATGATTGAATAAATAAATAAGTGAGTGATAAAGAACAACATTTACAGAGTTATTTAAACTACATATTTACATGGTGTATTAGTCCATTTTCATACTGCTATGAAGAAATACCCTAGACTGGTTAATTTATAGGCAAAAAGAGGTTTAATAGACTCACAATTCCACATGGCTGGGGAGGCCTCACAGTTATGGCAGAGGTAAACAACATCTTACATGACAGCAGGCAAGAGAGCGTGTGCAGGGGAACTGCCCTGTATAAAACCATCAGATCTCATGAGACGTATTCGCTATCAGGAGAACAGCCTGGGAAAAACCACCCCCATGATTAAATTACCTCCCACAGGGTCCTTTCCACAATATGTGGGGATTAGGAGAGCTACAATTTAAGATGAGATTTGGGTGGGGACACAGCCAAACCACATCAAATGAAATGAGGGAAATAGGAAATCACCATTAGAACACCATAATAATACAATCCACCAATAAATGCTAAAATTAGTGGGCAAAAGTTTAAGGATAAATAAGGTTTTGCATAGACCAAATTTTTATTGATTACAAAGTGAAAAGTTGTGATTTACTATGGAGAAACCTGGTAGACACAGCCTTAACCAAATAATTAAATTTATTATCACCAGTGTCAAGACATATTGATATCATATATTCCCGGAGAAATACACATCACCACCTCTGTGGCATTCCCTTCGCATATCCGTAACTTTAATCTAATCATGAGAAAATATCAGACAAACCCAAGTTGAGGGCCATTCTACAAAATCTCTTACCAGTACTGTTTTAAAATGTCAAGGTCATGCAGGACAAGTACAACTGACTATCAGATCAGACAATACTAAAGAGATATGACTACTAAATGCAATGTAGTACCCTGAACTAGATCCTGGATCAGAGTAAATATGTTAATGTAAAATCTTTTGAAATCCAAATAAATTCTGTAGTTTAGTTAGTAGTATTATATCAATGTTGATTCCTTAGTTTTGGTAGCTGCATTATGATTATATGAAATGTTGACAGAGGAAACTGGGTGAAGGGTATACTGGAACTGTTTGTGCTATCTTTGTAACTCTTCCGTAAGCTTAAAATGGTGTCCAAAACTAAAAGCTTTTAAAATAGTTCAGGAAATAACCTAGTGAGAAAAGTGGCATTGTTTTACATTTTTGAAAATCAATTTAATGAATGTCTTTAATGGGAATCAGATGGATTCTGAATTTTACATTCAATCTGTTACAATATTATGTGTCATATAGCCTCTGGAAACCCAACTATATATTTGTAAGAAAATGGGAGTGAAAAAGGCAATGGTGTCATCATAAAAGTAGTTTTGACTTTGTGGATTCCTGGAAAGGGTTTATGGGTGCCTTGGCCCTCTAACACATTTGAGAACCAGTGAATTAGAGTAACACTCTTGAGTTCTCTTTACCATTTAGGGTGATTGCTGAGTTCTGGAGACAGACTGGGCTTCTGCTTTCTTTTGGTGGAGGTGTCTGCTTGCAGAAAATTTATGTTCTGGGGTGAGTATTTAATTTTGAATAACGTTATCAAGCTCATTTTTGGCTACATCTAACTGTATTGAAAAAATAGCTTTGTTACTATTAAATCAGACCTATTGATCTCTATCTACAAGAGTCCTGCTGTATATCTTGGTTAATTCAGAGCTTGGCTACATCTAACTGTATTGAACAAATAGCTTTGTTACTATTAAATCAGATCTATTGATCTCTATCCACAAGAGTCCTGCTGTATGTCTTGGTTAATTCAGAGCTTGGCCTGGGATCAGAGGTGTTGTTTTCCTCCTATATCCATGATATGAGCTTGTGTGATTCACAATGGAAGGATAAAGGAGGACAACACGGCAATAAATAGGGAGTGATGGGAAAAATCGTCCAGAGTAAAGTATCAGGTTCACCAGGGTAATCCATGGATCCTTTCTCTGAGTTCATTCCAGCCCAGAGAAGGATTCCTTCTTTGTGTGATACCTGCAATACTAAATTTACTTAGGTTCAAAAGCATTAATAATAAAGTAAATGACTATCATATGTGTCTGGTTATAAATCTTTTCTTCCTCCCATGATGAAAGCTTGGCTACTCATTTTTACTCTGAAGTTCATAGTCATCTTCCTCTTGAACTAAATTCTGGGGAAAGATTGATAAGCCATTTCAATATGGCATCCTATGACAAATAAAGCTTTGGAAACTCAGACATTTAGCCCCTTCCAAACTCAGAAGACAGCTGCTACCCACACGGTCACTCAATAATCACAACATGTTCCCAAATCTTGCTTTGTGGCTGAATTTTTAAAGTACCTCTAGAGTTATGATTGGACAATCTGTTTCTGTTTTACTATAATTACTATTTAATTTGTACTCTACTAATCCAGAATTTTGCATAAACATCCCTCCTATGATTCCTGCTTAATAGAATATTGAAAATCATTTCCTCATTGAAAATGTTTTGAGCTATTAAGAATAAAATACTCTGTTTTCAGAGCAGTTTTTACATTTTCCAAACTAAGGGAGCTGAAACAGTAAAGATTCTTTTAGCTTGCCTTTCGTTTTCAGGACTAGCAGGTTCCTGTAATATAAAGGTCTTTGGGGTTTTTAGTGCAAGCCTATTGAGAACTGTAATTTATTTCACCTCATTTCACTTATAAATGATACTATTTTACATGTTCCATGTAAAAGGAAAAAATAATATTTCCTTAAAAATTATTCTATACATTCCTATAATTTAGCCTTGTGTGTGATGATGACCTTTTTCTATAAAAGAAAAATGTATGTAAATGCTGGTATAAGTTAATTATAAATAATGTTGTTGACATGTACAACCTAAGGCACACTTAGAAAATATATTCATATAGCTGGGCGCAGTGGCTCACGCCTATAATCCCAGCACTTTGGGAGGCCGAGACAGGTGAATCACAAGGTCAGGGGTTCCAGACCCGCCTGGCCAACATGGTGAAACCCCTTCTCTACTAAAAATACAAAAAATTAGCTGGGCGTGGTAGTGGGTGCCTGTAATCCCAGCTACTCAGGAGGCTGAGGCAGGAGAATGGCGTGAATCCAGGAGGTGGAGGTTGCAGTGAGCTGAGATTGTGCCCCTGCACTCCAGCCCAGACGACAGTGCAAGACTCCATCTCAAAAAAAAAAAAAAAAAAAAAAAAAAAAAAAAAAAAAAAAAAGAAAGAAAGAAAAGAAAATATATTCATATAACCCTGATTTTGGTAAAACACATTTCTACATATTCATTTCTGAGGCACAGGGTTTCTTATACAGTCACCTGTTTTGAGGTATTTAAAACACTTTTTAGTTTTGTGCTAGTTGCAAAAAATGACATTTTAACATAAACTATCAGTTTTACTTGCAGAGTTTGGTGTAAAAAATATGAAGATTTTATCTCCAAAATTAAGATACTTCTATATACCTTTCCACACATCTCAAATTTGTGAAGTTTAAGAGGATTTTAGAAGTGATCAGTATCAGTTTACAAAATTACTTGGAACATGTGTTAATCAGTCATCTTCCTTTGCCAAGCTGACTCTGAAATTCATGGAAGGTACCTACACACCAAACTTTAAGTGATTGCATATGCTAGCTTCTAAATATTTATGAGGATTCTTTCAATTTTAGCATTTTGGGTACTAGCAAACAGTCTATTCCCATTACCAAATTCCTAAGCACAACATTGTTTCATTATCAAAGAAAATAACATCTTTTGGGGGCTGTAAATACTCTGTGAGGACAAATGGATTTTCTAAAGGAGACTACTGACCATGTGTTAAACTATGACATTTCAATACACTTGTTTGATTGTTGGTCAAAAACATACTCAAAGGTAAACAACTTGAGCAAATAACAGGCAACTGAAGTTGACCATTTAAAGAGAGGGACAATGAGCATGAAAAATCAAGACGAATGCATTGCTTCAATTTCATAGACAACATGAATTAAACGCAAGCCACTGCCATTCTGCTTTAATTTAAATAAATCAAATGTTTTCACTGTCTCAGAAAACTAGTTTTTTCAATAACATTTATGACATATTTTTTCTTGGTTTGTGCACCTATTTGGAAAAGCATCACCGAGAGAGTTGTTGGTTATGAAAAAATACAATTCCCTTAGCCATTTACTGGGCTACATCAGTTAGTGGAAAACAGATTTCTCAAGATAAATTGTTATTGGTCATTAAAAACATATAATGCTTCTCCTTAGACAGACTAAATTTATCTGATATGTTTGTATTCCAGGATGAAATCAGAAAAGTGACTGACGACAGGGAAACAGGATAAGATCTATTTTCACACCAGATTTGTTATTCAAGTTGGCTTCAGAACTATTAATAAATATTTCCAAGAGCAGTTTTCATCAACTTAGATTAGACCAAGAATTATGACCACAGACCACAGACCCTCTGCCATCCCAGCTGGCCTCTCCCATCAAGTAGTGCAATGGGGCTATCAAATTTTTTATTTTATTTTATTATTTTTTTCTCTAGTTCTTCTAAAAAAAGGGGATACATGTACAGTACATGCATGTTTGTTACATAAGCCATTACATAGGTATACGTGTGCCATGGTGGTTTGCTGCACCTATTGACCCCTCCTCTAAATTTCTTCTCTTCAACCCCCACCCGCCAACAGGCTCTAGTGTGTGATGTTCCTCTCCCTGTGTCCATGTGTTCTCAATGTTCAACTCCCACTTATGAGTAAGAACATGCAGTGTTTGGTTTTCTGTTCCTGTGTTAGTTTGTTGAGGATGATGGCTTCATCCACGTCCCTACAAAGGACAGGATCTCATTCCTTTTTGTGGCTGCATAGTGTTCCACGGTGTATATGTACTACATTTTCTTTACCCAGTCTGTCATTGATGGACATTTGGGTTGGTTCCACGTCTTTACTATTGTAAATAGCACTGCAATAAACATAAATGTGTGTGTGTCTTTATAGTAGAATGATTTATATTCTTTTGGGTAGGGGCTATCAAATTTTTTATGAAGACTAGGTGGCCAGACAGCATATCTGCTCAGTTGTTCCTCCATTCCTACCCATTTTCCATACTCTCTCACACTCACTTTCACCCTCATCTTCACCAAAGGATGATAAAGCAAATGCCTACAATTGCAAGTGAGTGAGCAAGCAAGTCAAATGGAGAAAGACGAGCTATAGGAAGCTAAGCAGAATCATATGCTAAAACAGGGAGGTGCCTGCTTCACTTGGGATAAAGCCAGAAGCTTCCTTCCATCTCTTTGGTATCATTTCAGGCCTAGTTGAAAGTGAACGTGAACAGTAAAACGGGTGACCTTGAGCACAAGCTTATGGATAATGATAGTAAAAAAGGAATTGTGTTTCACAAAACCACAGGTTTCAGTCCCTTGAGGCTCTGAAAAAGTAAACAAGGAAGCTGACACATGACAGCATATCTTGAGAGCACACTCAAAGAATTTTTAGACACTTGTGATAAGAAGCTTTTTGGGGAATGTTCAGTTGTTTTTCCCTCCACACAGAAGCAGTGGGAGGCAGAGTTTAGATTTCTGAGCATTCCAGAACCTGGGGAGGGTCATAGCTGCTGCTGTTGCTAGAGAAGTCTGCGGAGTTAAGAGCAATAAAGGCAGTAAAAATAAAACCTAAAATAAGTATTTGGCCTTCTGTTCCTCAGCCTTCTCACTATGTGAGGCTCTTAGACTTCCTCCCTACTAAACAGTGGGCCAGACCTGCCTTCACTGTCATTTTCATCCTTGATTTATCTGTTTTCTTCAATGGAATTTTTGTTTGTTTTTGTTGTTTTTGTTTGTTTGTTTGTTTGTTTTTGAGACAGAGTGTCGCTCTGTCACCCAGGCTGGAGTGGCACGATCTCAGCTCACTGCAACCTCCGTCTCCCTGATTCAAGCACGTCTCCTGCCTCAGCCTCCTGAGTAGCTGGGACTACAGGCGTGCACCACCACGCCCAGCTAATTTTTTGTATTTTTAGTAAAGACGAGGTTTCACTATGTTGGCCAGGATGGTCTTGATCTCCTGACCTCGTGATCTGCCCGCCTCAGCCTCCCAAAGTGCTGGGATTACAGGTGTGAGCCAGCACACCCGGCCTCAATTGAATTTTTAATGAACCCCTCAGAGATAGTATCTTTGTATCTGAATAATTCCTAGGCGAGGTTTAGATATATCGAGTATGGTCAACTTCATTAGAACACATGAAAGTGGTGACTATTTTCTTCTCCCTCAGTTAGTTCATATCATCCTGTTTCTCTAGTGATAAAATATGAAAGATTCCAAAAGTTGTAAAAGGAGAGAAAACAGGAATATAGAAGCAGGGAGTGCGTAGGGAAGATGAGAGTGGCAGGGAACTAAATCTTGAGAAAGCACAGAACTCAACAGACATAGACCGAAAACCTTGTTTGTTATTAAATCTTACATTAGATTGAACAAGTGAAACTCCATCCCTGAGAAAGCTCACCTGTGAACTGGGCAATTTCAGTGCAGTTTTTTTTTTTCTTAGAGTTATTAATAAGATGAATTGAGATAATGCCAATGCCTTTTGGAAATAAGAACCAAACAAATGCAAGGTGGCCTGGAAAATTGTCTCCAAAAAAAGGCAGTGAGACCCCCATGAAACATTTTTAACTATATTTTTCAAAATTGCTTTTGTTTTCAAAGATTTACAACTTCAGGGAGACAAAGGAAACTCCAGCTCATCTCCCACATCATTGATTGAGAGGACCATTTTCTGACTGTCTGCACACGTAAGTACCTTGCTTTCACTAGTTAGAAGCTCTTGCACTCCAGTCCTTACCTCCTGATGCACTTTGTTCCTTATATTCTGTCTGTGATTAATGTAGGTAACTTCCAGCTACACCTGTCACATTTTAATCTAAGCTAAAGGGAGAACTATAGCCTAAAGGCACTGTAGGTAATTTCATGAACTTGTTTCTGAAAGATAGAGAATGACTGAGTAATGGAAAAATTGTGAGATCCTTCTGTTTCAACTCAGTGCATTACCAAATTGAGTGCTGGAGGAAGATCCCAAGGAAAGGAGAAAGAAGGACCAATTAGGGAGAAATCATAAATACTTGAATAGTTAGATAAGCTTCCCATTAATTAGAGAAAAAAATTAGTTATGAAGAGATAAAGGAAAATTATGAAGGAGAGCAGAGAAAAAGCACCATGCGAGGAAGCTTGTAATTAAAAACAGAATGAATGAAAACAGATCACAATTGGCTAAGTGGATGAAAAGAGAGGAATGGAAAAATAACATAGTTTTAACAAATGACAATGATAGAGGTAAAGACTCCTCCAACAAAAAGCAAGGATTAAAAAAAAAGAGATAATCTTCAAAGCAAAAAGAGACCCAAAAGGCTACCTGAAACTGAATGACAGAAACAAGAAAGAAAAAACCTGAAAGGGGGAAAAAAGACAAAACATACAGGAGAAGTAAGTAGACCCAGAAACACACATAAGAAAACATTATAAAACAGACCTATCTTATTCAAACATTAATGAAAGAATGAAGCTCTGAGAGTAATAAAATATTAATTATTATTCCACTACCTGCTAGTCTGTCTCTGCTGGCAGCTTTAGCATATCTACTTGTTTGAGTGACAACCTCCTGTCTTTGCTATTTCTCGCACTTTTTAAAGTCCCTCTCCCCAGGGGAGAACCTATTTTACTCTTATAGAACCTGTATAAATAATGGGCCAAGAAATCTTGTGTTTTGAAGATTGACTGAGAAAAAAAATTTCCAAAATGTTCTCCAAGTTGAAAAAGATGTAGAAGCCTTAGACCAAATAGTAGGTCAGTACCCAGAATATTCCCAAATAGATTTGTATCTGTAATTGGAAATAATGGCAATTTCTAGGGTTATTTGAGGACAAAATGAGATTATACACTTAGAGCATGTCTGGCATCTAGTACACACACAATAAATATTAGCTGTTATTGTAAGCATGGACACTCATTTTTATCAGATGGTGGGCCAAACCCTGTTGGACTGTGACATACTTATTGCTTCTTCCTGGGTCTCTCAACCCAAGTGAGAAGTCAGCAAAGAAATCATTCGGGAAACCCTCTGTTTTTGTTTGTTTGTTTGTTTGTTTTTAATACCATAATTAGATTAACTAATGCTTGTTCCATTATTTCCTATGAACAATCCAAGTTTTTTCTTTCAGGAAGCTGTGCCCTGTGGTCAGGGCCAGACATGTTTCTGTGCTTTTCCTCTCCACCTGCTTCTCCCCTGTGATGCAAAGGCAAAGGGGCTGTGGGTGTGGCTGAGTGCTCAGGAGGGCACCGCCCAGTGAGGTCAGTGAGTGTCAGTGACTCACGTCCGCCTAGAATTGCCCCCACCAGGGCCTTGCTGAGTCTTCTCCCTGCTGCTGGGAATTTTGTCCCACCTTTATGTAGATGTGCGTTACTGAGTTTATCTGCATAGGAAAGGATGTGAGCTCTGAGTTCCCGGACTCTTCCTCCTCTCAGGTTCCTTAGAATGATTTAGGAGTAGGATTCTGAGCATCTTGGGGAGCTCTCCTGGGGGGTCTAATCGCCCATGTCTCAGGGACATGGGAAGGCCTAACAATCAAAGTGCACTTGGTGCTAGACATAGAAGTGGGAAGAAAGTGGAGAACAAATGAACAGGAGGCTGGCTATCTGGATATCTGGATGAGGGGCTCGAAGGACCATAGAGACCACCCAACCCATGGGATAGACAAAGAACGGGCAGTGTCCAGAAGCGGAACTGGAAAGTCCCCTATACCCACATGGCCCACCCGTGCTAGATTTTCAATCCCTGGATTCAACACTGCCACTGTCAAATATGTTATTTCTGGGAGATTCTCTGACCTCACTTATGCTTAGTTTCTTCATATATATAGTGGGAATTTTATAACTCATTTGTCAGTCTTTTCCTGGAATAAAAACAAATGAGATACAGAAATGCTTTGCAAGCAGATGAACTAAATAAACACATCCAGAGAACTGGCAAACTGTACTGCTCCTTCCTACCCACTTCTTTGCTAAGTTTTGGAAGAGGATTTGTGGACAAACATCCTATTTTACATCTCCCATCTGGGGACAATATATCAAATGACTTACAACATTTTAATCATGTAACACAGGTCTACTGTTATGAGTATTTAAAGTGTTGAAGATTTAAAAAGAAATGAAAATGACAATGCCTTCATTTAAAAGTGGAATGTTCTCTGAAAAAGTCAGAAAGAACTCCAAACTCAATTATTATTATTGAATCATATTTATTAAACAGTGTATGCTGTGTCCTCAAGAAAGAGACTACACACAGAAACAGATTAAGAAACACAAAACTCCAAACCCCAGAACGAACACTATGGTTGAAAATGCCCAGAGCACATGTGACTTTTCAGGAACCTCTGATGACCCTGAAGCCACAGACAGGGAACCCTGGCTCTAGACTGTTAGCAACTCCAGACAGGAACAATGCTTTATTTGTTATTGTACCCCAAATCCCAGCACAGTGCCAGCATCTAAGAGATGTCATTCTGAATTGGCAGGGCTAGACTCATTGTTATTTATGCTCTTTTAACACAAGCACAGGTATGAAGGACAGCTTTGGACCAGGGACTCAGAGGGAGGATAACAATAGCTGAAGAGTTTGAAAAGCAAGACAAGAGCACAGGTATCCAAACTGCTGAGAAGTGACTCCACTTCTCAGCTAGCTATGAAGGTGTGGTGGACAGGGACAGTCCTAACAGCCAGCTAAGAATTCAGGAGAACACCTGAGGACAAGATCTTGATACAGTTATTGGAACCACGGTACAAGATGAGGTGTGACTAAGGGCAAGCCAGACCAGAGGCTAGTTACAGAAAATGGGTGCAAATCATAGAGAATGGGTATTCCTAGCCTCCTAGGGTAGGGTAATGAAGGGTCTAGGAGTCAGGGAAATAATTGCAGGAGGTTCTATCTTTGACTGTGCCTGGGACTGGAAGAGATCACTCAGCTTCTCTGAGGTTGTTCCATGGAGCTTGCAAGTTTTCAAAGCACTCTTAGGCCCACTTTTAGAGGTTCATAAATACAAGACAGCTTCTTAGTTTTGATTGCTTCTACCTTATGCCAAGCATATGGTACTGAAAAAATTAAACAGTAGACATTTTTTACAATAATCAGTTGTAAAAATAATCGATTGGTGATATTAAAATGTTGTTTACCCGTATTCATCCTTCCACATAGTGTAGTCTAACAGACGTCATTTAACCTCAACACTTAATCATCTGCTCCTAAAACTCTGCTGCTCTTGTGGGGTATTATACTCCATTATTCTAAGACTAGGGAGTACTTGGAAGAGAAGATCCAGAAGAGTGGCATCATAGTTGGGTAGGCTGGGCTACATCTCATGAAGATGCATTTATAAGAACAAAACTCATTTGAAGGGAAAATATAAATGATACCTACATTAGCTGATAAATAGAAGCTAATTAAGAGATTTTCTGTAAATTTTAAGTTTACAGACTCTTAGAATCAGAAGGGATCTTGGAAATTACCACATTGCCAATTACTAATTTTCAATTGAAGAACCAGGTTTTAAGGTTGAGTGGGTTGCTGAAGGCCAGGAAGTTAGAGGAAAGGAATAGGATCTGTTTCCTCTCATCCCAATCAATGCTCCTTCCGGGGACCTCCCTGGCTGGAGGAAATGGGGTGGGGATAAGAACCAGGAGGAGAGATGTGTAGATTACTCCTTTCTTCTCAATGTCTGCCATACAGAAGTCATTTTGTCCAGTGGGGGAATTGTAAGGAAAAAACCATATTTTAAAATTCCCTAACAAATATGACATCACAAGTCAGGTTTCTTCTCTAGAATTTCTAGTTGTTTCTAATGACAACCTTATTTAATAACTCCCATAGCATTATTTTTACTTGTTTTCTAAGAAAAATAAAGGTTTTGAAAGTAATATTTTTGAGTAGGAAAAAACTAGGAGATCAAAAACTGAGAAAAATATGAACAAAATTATTTTAAAATTTGTGTTTCTTTTTAAATTGTATTACTTTTGGTAGAATGAACCCATTTTAAGCAGTATTATAATAATGAAGTTTACATTGTGGCAAAATTAGCTTTTGATTTATTACAAACAATATTTCTGATAATATTTTTTGAGGAATTTGTTACCCCATTAAAATTTTCCTTACATCTCTACTTGAATGTCTGTAGTTTCTGGTTAAGACTGATTAAATCTAAGGAAATGTTCTTCTTAGATGAAAGAAGGGGTTCAATGCATCATGCTTCCTCTGTAAATGCTTTTGCTAATGGAGTGCTCATGTTCAACCAGATGTGGGAAAATTCTATCGACAGGCCCTTGAATAACTAATTGACAATTACCATGGGAAGTCTTTTGATAGAAGGCCACTTGACTTTTATTAAATGTCAAACTTCCTTAGACCACAGATATCACATGTTTCTAACATGACTTGAATCCTTTGAGAGAAAGAAATCAGTCATGTCTGATGCCAGGGTTAATATAGATTTGGGGCTGTCTTTATTCTTTAAGGAGGATGACAGCTAACATTTATGGAGTACTTATCATGTGCAAGTCTCTGTTCTAAGTATTTTATATGGATTAACAACATTATTATTGTCCCAATCTTACTGTTGAGGGAAATAAGGCACAACAGGTTAAGAACTTGGCTAAGATACACAGCTCATAAGGAAGTCTAGGCCCAGAGACTGTGCCCTTTTATGTTATACTGCCTTCTTTTTTTTTTTTTTTAGGCTATTAAATTACTATAATTGTATTTTTTAGTGGAGAAAGACAGCTAGGTATAATTTATTATAGGTGGTGTATTCCCTGAATTCTGGATCTGTTTGCTTCCTATGGTTTTTTTTTTATTATTATACTTTAAGTTTTAGGGTACATGTGCACAATGTGCAGGTTAGTTACATATGTATACATGTGCCATGTTGGTGTGCTGCACCCATTAACTCGTCATTTAACATTAGGTATATCTCCTAATGCTATCCCTCCCCCGTCCCCCCACCCAACAACAGGCCCCAGTGTGTGATGTTCCTCTTCCTGTGTCCACGTGTTCTCATTGTTCAATTTCCACCTATGAGTGAGAACATGCAGTGTTTGGTTTTTAGTCCTTGCGATAGTTTGCTGAGAATGATAGTTTCCAGCTTCATCCATGTCCCTACAAAGGACATGAACTCATCATTTTTTGTGGCTGCATAGTATTCCATGGTGTATATGTGCCACATTTTCTTAATCCAGTCTATCATTGTTGGACATTTGGGTTGGTTCCAAGTCTTTGCTATTGTGAATAGTGCCGCAATAAACATACGTGTGCATGTGTCTTTATAGCAGCATGATTTATAATCCTTTGGGTATATACCCAGTAGTGGGATGGCTGGGTCAAATGGTATTTCTAGTTCTAGATCCCTGAGGAATTGCCACACTGACTTCCACAATGGTTGAACTAGTTTACAGTCCCACCAACAGTGTAAAAGTGTTCCTATTTCTCCACATCCTCTCCAGCACCTGTTGTTTCCTGACTTTTTAATGATCGCCATTCTAACTGGTGATACTGCCTTCTATGAGTAAAAATTTCTATACGTTGTTATCATTGTCCCTAACAGACCATGATTTTAGATTATTCACTAGGGTTCTACTAAATAAAGAAAATATGGATCCTTAAATTAACTCATTATCTCTAATTGTCCCCTCTACATGAGCAGTGATAGCAATGATGGCTATTATTATTATTTTGGACTTTTAAAATAAGTTTTTATTTCCAGTGGAAATAGGACCTTGTCACCATTATTAATCTAGCGTTGCACTGCACGGTACAGTAGGCACTAGTTTCCTGTGGCTATTTAAAATGAAATTAATTACAATTAAGTACTGTCATACTCTGTTTTCTGTTGCTTCTAAAAGAATAACTGAAACTGGGTAATTTATAGAGAAAAATAATTTATTCCTTATGTTATATAGGCTGGTAAGTCCAAGGTCAAGGGGCTACATCTGGTGAGGGCCTTCTGGCTAGTGAGGACTCTCTGCAGAGTCCCAAGGCAGTTCAGGGCATCACATGGTTAGGAGCTAAGCTTGCTAGCTTGGGTCTGTCTTCCTCTTGTTCTAAAGCCACAAATCCCACTCCCATGCACCCACTAATCCATTAACATATTAATCCATTAACATATTAATCCATTAATTCATGAATGAATTAATCTATTCATGAGAGCAGAGCCCCCATGACCCACTCACCTCTTAAAGGCCCTGCCTGTCAATTCTGCCACATTGGAGATTAACTTTCAACATGAGTTTTGAAGGGGACAAACCTTCAAACCATAGCAAGTACAATTTAAAAAGTAGTTCTCAGTCATACTAGCTATGTTTTTAGTCCTTAATAGTCACAGGTGGATAGTGCTACCATAGATATAAAAAACTTCTATCATAATAGAGAGTTCTATTGAACAGCAATGTGTTATAGAATGCTCAGCTTCTTTATATGTAACTAAACAAATCAATTACTAGCTGCAGAATGCAGCCAGGAGACAGAACTTCACCTATTTGGGGGAAAAAAAAAACAACCTCATAAATTTATCTTTAAACTTGTGAGGTTGGAACTAATTAAAGTTTCCTATTTGACCTTGAACCAAGTCAACATAAAGTGAGAAAGTTACAAGTGAGAGGAGACAGATTGGCTGGTGATTTGATGAATCAGTAAATTATTTATGTAAAGAAGGGAGGATCTTTTCCATGGAGCTAAAGGGAGTGTGTTAAAAGGACTCTTGGCTCCCCAAAACTAGAATAACTCACTTTTGATGTGTAGTAACAGGGATATATATACCATTTAGAATGTCAAAATGAGCAGAATATTTTGCCATAGGAACATGTTTTGAAGATTCTGAGAAAGAAATGGGATTTTAGGGTCTTTTCTAGTCATGTGAAAGGGACTTGTTTTAGTCAGCTTTCTCCAGAGAGAGAAACTATAGAATATAGACAGTAATACATAAAAAGGGATTTGTTAGAGGAATTGGCTCCCTTGATTATGGAAGCTGGGAAGTCTCAAGATAGGCTGTCTGCAAGCTGGAGAACCAGGAAAGCAGATAGCATGGCTTGGCCCATGTCTAAAGGCCTCAGGACCAAGGAAGCCAATGGTGTAACCCTCACTCAGAAGCTGAAGGTCTAACAGCATGAGGGTGGGGAGGTGGGTGTCACATAAGTCCTGGAGTCCGAAGGCCAGAGAACCTGGTGTTTTGATACCCAAGGGCAGGAAAAGAAGAATGTCTTGGCACTGGCACAGAGATTAAATTTGCCCTTTCTTCATCTTTTTGTTCCATTCAGGCCTCCATCCAATTGGATGGCACCTGTCCACATTGAGGGCAGATCTTCCCACTCAGTCCACTGGCTCATATACCAATGTCCTCTGGAAACACCCTCATAGACACACCTGGAACAGCCCCATCATTCATCGTTCTAATCAAAAGCAACACAGGAAGGGGAACATCACACACCACACACCGGGGCCTGTGGTGGGGTGGGGGGAGGGGGGAGGGATAGCATTAGGAGATATACCTAATATTAAATGACGAGTTAATGGGTGCAGCACACCAACATGGCACATGTATACATATGTAACTAACCTGCACATTGTGCACATGTACCCTAAAACTTAAAGTATAATAATAAATAAATAAATAAATAAATATGTGGTAAAAAATCCCCCCCCCCAAAAAAAAGTGAATCCACCTGGGTTTTCCTTTCAGCAGGAGAGAGACAGGCTCAGTACCTACTGCTGCACTGAGAATAATTGATGCTTTACCAGCTATCTGGGTATCCCTCAATCTAGTCAAGTTGACCCCCAAAATTAACCATCACAGTACAAAAGGACTGACTTGCTTGGGATTATGCAGGTCAGACTGGCTTTTAGATTTCTGGGTTGGGACAAAAGATACCAGGATCTGTGGTCATGATTCACTCTGGTGAGGGAAAAATGTTGTGGGTGAGGTATTATGTTTTGTGCAAGAGATAATTTTGACTCCAGGTCTGTTTGTCCACCAAAAGCCTGTCTTCCCACTATGGCACATGTCATTGGTACATATCCCACAAGTTTAGCAAATTTAATTGGGGAAGTCAGAAAAGATGTTGCCTGGAAGAATGGCCTCAGGAAGAGGAAAGAGTGGGAGCCACAGGCTGATTGGATGTAACAGGAGAGCCGCTCTAGGGAAGAAGATTGGCCAAGATGGAGGCAGTGGGATGGGGAGGAGGAGACACAACACATTTAATAGCTCTCCTTTGGCCACAGTAGCCTCGAAGAAATGGAAATTAGTACTTAAATTATGTAGGAAGGTAGACTATAGTACTGAGCACAAGAGAGAATTTTCCCTACTATTGCTGTCCAAAGGTGTTATCCTGTGAAGAAGCTGAGACTGACTGCATCAACAATAACTAGCCTTCGTTATGGAGGTTTCCTATGGTCCTAAACTTGACTTCAAGGTTAAGTTCTGTTAGGCACTAGCACTCCAGAAGGGTCAACCTCCTCTGAATCCTGATGCATTCATTCATGTCTCAATTAAGGGAAATGACATCATTTTAGAGAATTGGCACTTTCAAGGGGGTCAGTAAGTAAACTTACAGTATTAAATGGACTCGTCAAATGGCAAACAACACACTTTCCAGTGCACAGAAATGAGCAGTGTTTTCCTCTGAGACTCCTCTTTTCCTCCTCCGCCATAGGTAACAATCCTAGACCAGTATTATTCAATGTTCCTCTAGGTACCCTCTTTATTTTCCTGAGAAGGTAGAACATTCTTCTGTTTAGCATTTGTTTTCCTGTGTTTTCATCTAAAAAACCATCTGCTGTATTCTCAGAAAAGGGTTTCTCAGGAGGCGAGGAGTTAGGACTGATGTAGAGGTGATGTGAAGTGGAGGTGGAAAAGAAAATGAATCAGTAGAGCTGCTTGTGAAAGCTGACACAAAGTCTGTATTAAGACTTTTGGCTCAAGTTTTTGTATATTTTTGGGTGCATTCTAGGTTTACAGAAATAATTTTTAAAAGCAAAAATAAAAATAATAATTGAGAGCTAGGCTGGGCACAGTGGCTCACACCTGTAATCCCAGTGCTTTGGGAGGCTGAAGCAGGCAGATCTCCTGAGGTCTGGAGATAGAGACCAGCCTGACCAACATGGAGAAACCCTGTCTCTACTAAAAATACAAAATTAGCTGGATGTGGTGATGCATGCCTGTAATCCTAGCTACTCAAGAGGCTGAGGCAGGAGAGTTGCTTGAACCTGGGAGGTGGAGGTTGTGGTGAGCCAAGACTGTGCCATTTCACTGCAGCCTGGGCAAGAGCGAAACTCCATCTCAAAATACTACTACTACTACTACTACTACTACTACTACTACTAATAATAATAATAATAATAATAATTGAGAGCTAAAACATATTTCACCTGTAGGGCACTATCTCAATCTATTCTGGGACTGAGATCATTTGGGGCTGCTGAGAGAAAAGCCGACATAAAATGAATTTTTGTGGCCTTGTTTTTAATGTGTAAGGTCATAAAAATGAGTATCACCACCTCAGATTGGAGCAGATATGCCAAGAGTCAGCTTCTTTGTGCCTTTTATCAAAGCCACGCCTGCACTATGAATCATGGTCAGCTTGTGGGTCCACCAATAATATCGGTATTGTGAATAGCTTCGGGTTAATATGTCCAGACATATTTTACTGATTGAAGTGGAGATCTTTGGCTCTACAAACCCATTGGTGCTGGCAGGCATTTGTTGCACACGGAACCAAGGGTCTCTGCACACAGATTAGCATATTCCAATCGGTGGAAAGGATGCTGGGGATGGGCTCCTCCTCTTCCCAGTCCCACATAGTCATCAGTGTGTGATTGTGCTTTTGGAATGACCATGAGTATACACCAGGAACCCACTTGTTGCCAGACACTTCTTGTGGGCTTGCAATAGTTTCACTCTCCTGAGAAAACTGGGGCTTGCTTGGCCATAGTGAATACCATACCCTTTTCTTCTGCCTGTCTCTCCTTGAAGGAAGCTTTATGCTCAAAGAGACAGTAACTACTAAACATCTCTTTTCCTTTAAAGGAACGGGACGTGGAGTTACAAAAATATGACTCTAAATCTGTGTTTGTCTTTTCTCTACTTCCAGGATTGTTAGGTTACCATTGTGAAACAGTTTTCAGCATACAAAGTGCTGTCATGTACATTTTTCTTTTTTTTTTTTTGAGACAGAGTCTCGCTCTGTCACCCAGGGTGGAGTGCAGTCGCGTGATCTCCACTCACTGCAAGCTCCGCCTCCTGAGTTCACGTCATTCTCTCTGCCCCAGCGTCCAGAGTGGCTGGGACTACAGGTGCCCGCCACTACGCCCGGCTAATTTTTTGTATTTTTAGTGTAGATGGGGTTTCACTGTGTTAGCCAGGATGGTCTCGATCTCCTGACCTCATAATCCACCCGCCTCGGCCTCCCAAGGTGCTAAATTATTTATTTTATTCTGGCAGGAAGATGTCAGTCATAATTGTGCTAGGATGCAACATCTGTATATGTAAAGATATGTCAAGGACCTAGACACTTAAATTGGCCCATTTATTAATAGAGGCAAGGCAGTTAAGGGAGAAATATCACATTGGCAGCATTTAGCTAGAAGGACAAATTCTCAGTCATCATTAAATGCCCAGATGATACAAAGACTCAGCTTTTCCCTGGGAGAACTCTGTCAGCTAAGTAATAGGATAAACACCCTGCTTATCTATACCAAACAAATCTCCCAAACTTATACTTCTTTGGAGACATACCTCCTCTTCTTATTCATTTTTACCTAGGCAAGTAAAAATGTAGACATGATTAAGAAATCAAGGACTCAGCTTCCAACAAATGCAATTAAGGCCACAAACAAAACTACACTTAATTATGAAGTTGAATGGTGACATGATCATTCTCTGTGTGCTTTCTATGGGTCACTTGCCAATCAGAAAATGCCACATCTCATTCATCACAGAAACAAGGGGCTCTTTTGCTCAAAGTTAAAATGTGTATTTTAAAAACCCCAACAGTTCTCAGGTTCTGTGGTTCACCCCTAGTAATGTTGTAGAGTTACATGATTGCATTCACTACTGACATTCTTTGTAATGTGAAAGAAAAGAAAACTCATTGGCAGAGGATGCTGATTAAAGCATATGCCTAAAAAATTTTCCACAGCACTTAAATGCTTAAAGATTCATTGCCACAGTTTGCATAGGAAAAACACTCTTTTAGAAGACAAGTTAGTTTTCCTAAGTAAGCAGTATGAATATGAATTTAGAAGCAGCCAAGTTTTAAAGTAAAATCTTTTTATTTGATATTGATACTTGTAATCATTATTTTTTATTTGAAAAATACTACCAACTACTCAGCTCTGTGAAAGCTTACTATGTTGCCAGATTTGCTTCAGATCTTTAAAAGTAATAAAATATTACAACCACATTTGAAGACCACATGCTCCTGTCTTCCCAGTGGTGAGCACCATTGTGTACTTGTATCACATTGAACGTGTATATGTTTATTGACTATACAAATTTCCTTTTCTGTATTTTTTCTTTGTTCATTTATCTATTAAGCTAGCACTTTCTTACTAATTTGTTATTAGGTTGTTGCAAAAGTAATCGCTGTTTTTGCTGGTACTTTCAATGGCAAAAACTGTGATTACTTTTGCACCAACCTAATAAAGGTTATGGATATTAAGGCTTTTTTTCATGACGTATATTGTAAATGCCTTCTTCTAGGTTGTGGATTCTTTTATAACTTTGTATAGCATGATTGTTTCAACACTACTTCTTAATTTTAAAGTAATTTATGAATCTTTTCTTGTGTTTTTGTATTTTGTTTAACAAAGTCTTTCCTACTCTAAGACTATAAAGATACTCTCCTATATTTTAATCTCAAAGTTTAAAATTTAATTTTAATTTCATATGTGATGAAGAGATCCAATTTCATTTTCTTTTTATAAAAATAATAATTCAGCACCATTTATTAAATTATACACTCTCTCTTTATTTACTAAGCTATCTCCATATCAAATTTCCACACAGGTGTGTATTTCTAGGCTACTCTAATCTATTCATCTCTTTCTATCTCATAGGATCCTCCTATCCTTTCTTTTTTCTTCAAAGTTGTCTTCATTGTTCTTTTACCTTTATTCTTCTGTATTAACTTTTAAATAGTATTGTCAAATTCCACAAAAATCCAGATGGCCCTTTGATTAAATTGCATTGAGTTTATAAATGAATTCATAGAGAATTATCACATTTAAATTATTGAGTATTACTTTCCACTATATATCATCATTTAATTAGGTATTTTATTTACTAAAATAATAATTTAAAATTTTTTTCCAAAAGATCTTCAAAATGTTGTTAGATTTATTCTTAGACACCTTATAGTCCTTGTTATTGTGAATGAGATTATGAGATTTTCTTCTATTACATTTTCCATTTGATTGTATATAGAGGTGTTAAAGATATTTGATATTGATCTTGTATTCACAAATGTTATGAGTTATCTGTTAGTTCTAATAGTTTACATATAGAATAGATGTCTAGATAGTGATATTGTCTATAAATATGGACTGTTGAGATTTTTTTTCCCCAAATTTCCCTCCTTCCCTCCCTCCTCCCACCCTTTCTTTCCTTCCTTCCTTCCTTCCTTTCTTCCTTCCTTCCTTCCTGACTGCCTGCCTACCTTCCTTTTTTTTTTTCTACTATTATATACAGCTATTGGTACACTTTTAAATAGTAATAGAAGTGATCCTTAAGTCATGGGCAGATTGACTTAGTTCTTATTCATGAGATCAAGTGTCTATCCAGGTTCTCAAGTTCCCAGGTGGTCAGCAACTTATCTTGTTCTATCCTTTTTGGAGGAGGGAGCTCAGCAGCCCTAACCTGCTTCTGGTTTTAAGTGCTTAGCTTAGCTATGTTCCCCATCTTGCAAAGAGCATTTTAAGCACTTTCCTTCATAAATGTAAAATGTCCATGTCTAGCAATGCCTACTTCCTGCAGTAGACCGGGCCCAAACTTCAGCCTTGCACACGGCTCATTTCTTGTTCAATATCTTGGGAGATTTTTCTCTAGAGTACATACCAAGAAATGAAATTATCCCACTTTCTAAGATATCTTCAACTTTACTAGATATTGCCATGGAGATGATTTTCTTGTGTTTTAATTTGCCTATGCCATTTTTACTTTTATTTGTGCTTTAAGCATTTTATCTCTTGTTGCTATTTTTCTGCAGTGAAAACTGAAGCAATATATGAACTTTTGGAGCCATTTTGGCCAGAAAAGTCATCAGTTCTATTTTAAACGTGACTTTCTTTGTGTGTAAGAAAAGGTGGGAATCAGAACAATTATATTTATGTGTCTGCAGAATAATCCTTCAATTATGAATTCACTATGACTATAGATTCAAACACAAGGGAAATATCTGCCCAGTGGTCATATGGCTTATTTATCATTTGTTGAACATGATCTGTGCATACCAAAGAATTGTTAAAACAGGGTCTGACATACAATGGATATTTGTCCAAAGCTCATGTTGAAAGGTGATCCCTAATGTTGGAGGTGGGGCCCAGTGGGTGCTGTTTGGTCATGGGGGTGGATCCCTCATGAATGGGTTGGTGCCGTCCCTGTGAGTTCTTGCTCTGTTAGTACACACAGAGCTGGTTGTTTAAAAAAGCATGGCACCTCCTCCCCGTTTCTCTTGATCCTTCTTTCACCATGTGACATGCCACTTCCCTTCCCTTTCCACCATGATTAGATACTTCTTGAAGTCCTCACCAGAAGCAGATGCTGGCACCACACTTTTTGTACAGCCTGCAGAACCATGAGCCAAATAAACCTATTTTCTTTATAAATTGCCCCTTCTCAAGTGTTCTTTATATCAGCACAAAATGGAATAACTTAGGGCCACTATAAGTTTATTGTTTTAAAAATTAGACCTTCCTAAGGTGCTTTCAAGTGTGTAAAAGACACACTTTAAGACAATGTAGTGAAGGGGTTAAGAGAAGCGCTTCCAGTCACACCACTGAGTTGGAGTCCAGGTTCCACCAATTACTAGCCATGGTTTCCTTATTAATAAAATGGGACCCTATTAGTACCTACCCTGAAGGGTTATTTTGAAGATTAAACAAAATATACTACACTTAAAACATTTAGCACCAGATTTGGCACATAACAAACACTCAATAAAATTTAGCTATTATTTATTTAAGTTCACAAAGGTTAATATATTATCTTTTATGTGATACATAATCTGACAATAATCTGAAGCTTTTATTTTCATTACTTTCAATTTGTCCATTTCATAAAATTAACCACATATGCTTCCTGTAATTAACATTTAGGATAGGGGTTTTCCATAATTTTTAGATAAAAATAGAAGCTATACTTTTAAATAAATTAAATCAGAAAAAGTTGAACTTCATAATCAAAGTCTATTTGCTTGTGTCTCATTGCTGAAGATTACTTTAATATTCTAACAATAGGCAAATTATTTCCATTATATTAGCTGAAGAGAAAAATGAATGACAGACTAAAAATGATAGATAAGGCAATGAGAAATAAAAATTAAAAGCCAAGTTTAGAGATGACCTGCAGATTCAATTACTAACATTATGAGGCTTTACTCTTATGCTCTGCTCTGTGCAATAGCACTTAAAACTGGTGAATTCATGGTTTAGCCAGGTATACTTACAAATCTGTGTTATAAGTGAACACGCAAGATAAAAATAGTATCGAATTGATGGTGTTATAGTGACAGAAGTATGTTCCTTTGAGGAACTGGCCTTTCTCCACCAAGTGCTTGCCAATCACATGACCCAACCTTTCACATCACAAGATTGACATGAGGCCAGAGAACCCATCCTCCTGAATATTGTAATTGATTTAGAGTTTGTTTTTGCCATACAAAATATTTTTTAGTCAAATTTGTCACCAATTTCTGTTATTGCTTCTGGATTTTGAGTTTATTAGAAAATATTGGCTGGGTGCGGTGGCTCACGCCTGTAATCCCAGCACTTTGGAAGCCGAGGCAGTTGGAGCACCTGAGGTCGGGAGTTCAAGACCAGCCTGACCAACATGGAGAAACCCCATATCTACTAAAAATACAAAATTAGCCAGGCGTGGTGGCACATGCTGTAATCCCAGCCATTGCACTCTAGCCTGGGCAACAAGAGTGAAACTCTGTCTCAAAAAAAAAAAAAGAAAATATTTTCCTATTCCCAGTTTATTAAATTATGCACTTGGGTTTACTTGTAGTATTTACTTATATTTATTTGTATAGTTTATCCTGGTGTGTGGTATGAATCAGTTTGATCTTTTTTCATAAAACTCTCCAGTTACATCAACCACACTGATTTAAAAATTCCTCTTTTCTTAAATGTATGGCCTTTATCATGTGTTATATTTCCATATGCACTCAGTTCTTTGAAGATAATATGTCATTTCTCTCTGAATGCTTTTAAGATATTTTTATTTTGTTTTACAGCAATTTTGCTGTGATGTGCTTGGTTATGGTTTTCTTTTTATTTATCATGTCTGTGGTGTGTAGCACTTACAAAATTGTGATTAAATGTCAGTTTTGAAAGATTCTCAGCTGCTATCTTATCAAATATTTCTGCTGGCCCATTATCTCCATTCTCTTTTTGAGATTCCAATTACACATAGAATCTGTGTGTAATAAATTAAGGTTTATGTTAGATCTTTTTATTTTGTTCCACTCATCCCTTATTTTCTTTACAGTATTTTCCAAACATCTCTCTGTGTTTCAGTCTGTATATTTTCATTAGATATATTTTCTAATTTACTAATCCTCTCTTTATCTGTGTCTAATCTAATGCAAACATTGAGTTCTTAATTTTCAGTTACTGTATCTTAACTCATTTATTAATATATAATTCATATATAATATAAATCATACATCATATAATAATTCACCTATTTAAAGTGTACAATCAATAGATTTTAGTAAATTCACAGAGTCATATAACCACCACTACAATTAATTTTATAACATTTTTATTATCAAAAAAGAAAACCCATACCCATTAGCAGTCATTCACCGTCTTCTCCCAACTCTCCAACCTCTGAGCCCCACTAATCTGCTTTCTATGTCTCTATATATTTGCTTTTTCTGGAAATTACACATAAACAATCATAAAATACGTGATCTTTTGTGACTGGATTTTTTCACTTTGCATAATTTTTCTCAAGTTCATCTGTCTTACAGCATGTGTCAGTACTTTATTTTTGCTGAATAATACTCAATTTTATCGATATACCACATTTGGTTTATATATTCATCAGTTAATTGACATTTGGGTTGTTTCCACTTTTTGGCTTTTATAAATAATATTGCTATAAACATTCCCGGACAAATGTTCATATGAACATAACTTTTATTTCTATTGGATATACACCTAGGAATGGAATTGCAGAGTATTATGATTTGACTTTTTGAGAACCTCCTGGACAGTTTCCGTACAGACTGTACCGTTTTACATTCCCATCAGCAGTATATGAGAGTTCCAATTTCTCCATATCATCACTAATTCTCACGTGTTATTATCTTTCTTTTTATTATAGCTATCTTAGTAGGTGTGAAGTGGCAGTTGTATTTTATAGTTTGGAATTTCTTTTTCATTAAAAGAATAGTTTTCAGTTCTCTCCTGATATTCTCTATTATGGCATCTAATTTCTTGAACAGCTATTTGAAAGTCCACGTGGGATAATGCAATACATGAACTTCCTGTTGCCTGTTTCTATTATGTATTTATGTATATTATGTGTATATATATATATATATATATATATATATATATATATATATATATTAGCTCTGGTCATGTGGGCTTTTCCTCAGTATCTCTAGCAATTTTGGATTGAATGCTGGACATTGTTGTGAATAATCACAAATGCTCTGAATGATTTTATCTTCTATAGAGGTCTAAATATTATTTTTGGCAGGCAGTTAGAGTAGTGACAGATTACCAGACTCAAATACGTGATTGATTTTATTTGAAACTTGGCAATATACTTTGTGAGAGCTTGTCTTTTCTAGTTTACCTCTGCTCCTGAGGTGTAGCTTTCTAGGATTTCCAACTTACAGGCTGGCATATTTATCAAAGGCCTGCCTCCTTGGTAAGCAAATCAGAAATAAAATTCTAAGACCCCAATTATCTGAATGAATTCCTCCTCTCAACCAACAGCATTCCAAAGTTAACCTGAATAACTAGTTCAGGCCATGATAGGAAGTGGGAGTTGGACATGCCTAATTTTACCTCCTGTCTTTTGGAATTCAGGAAAAGCCAACCAACATTCACATCAACACAGACTTTAAGTCTGTTAAGAAACATTTACAGTCTATTCTCTCTGAAGTCAGCTACCTGGAGTCTTCAGCTGAAAGATAAAACTTTGGTCTCCACAACCCCTTATTGTAACACAGACATTCCTTTCTACTGATGCCAGGTGTTTAGATAATTTCACTCTTTCAAGCAATTGCCAATCACAAAATCTTTAACTGTTCCTATGACCTGGGAACCCCCACTTTGAGTTGTCTTGCTTTGCACATTGAATCAATGTACATCTTACATGCATTGATTGATGTATTATGTCTCACTAAAACGTATAAAAATGCAAGCCGTACCACAAGCACCTTGGGAACATGTCATCAGGATCTTTCAAGGCTGTGTCATGAGCATGTCCTTAACCTTGGTGAAATAAACTTTCTAAATTGATTGATGCCTGTCTCAGATACGTTTGGGTTTACAACCCTTAACTCTAATTTTTGTCCCCAAAAAATTGCCAATAGTTCTGTGTAGCTACTTCACCTTGCAGTTGACATTGCTGCTCAGCCTCAAGGGTGTTAGAGGCACAGTGTACTATTAGGTTTACCTCTCTGTGTTTCTCATCTTTCCAGGAGCATGGCATCTCAAGTCTTAACTGCCTTGGTGGTTCTCTGATGCTTCACATACAAACACACGTACACAAAACTGTTTCTTTTTCTTCTTCTCCTTTTCCTTCTACTCTTATACCTCTAGCTTCCACTCCTCCTCTGTCCCTCCTCCTTTTTATTAATTACCCAGCTTTTTGTACTTATTCTCAGTGGTGGGGTTGGTATACAACAACCTAATTCATCATTACAGGAAGCCTTCCATGCACTTGGATCCATTTTTGTATTTTCTATTCGGTTCCATTAGTCTATCTAGTCATGCCCTATTGCCACCCTGTTTTAATTATCGAGGCTTTAATAATACATTTGTTATCTGATAGGGTTAGTGCATGAGTGCATGTTTGTGTACACATGCATATACACACACACAGCTCTTTTTAGTGTTTCCCAGTTATCTTGTCTGTTTATGCTTCCAAATAAACAGTATAATCAAGTTCTTTAACTCCAGAAAAAAATATAATATGTATATTAAGATAAGGTTAAATTTGTAAATTTACTTAGGAACAACTGGCATTTTTCTAACATTTACTATTTCTATTCAAAAACATCTACTCGAGTTTACTCTATGCACTTCAGGAGATATAATTTTCCTCACATAGAAGTTAGACATTTTTTGGGTGAAGTTTTTGCTTAGGTATTTTAAATTGTAAATGGAATCTTCTCTTTCATTCATCCTCTAACTGATTGTTATTCATATATGTAAAGAGTAGTGATGTAATTTCTTGCATGTTTATTTTATATCTTGCAACTTTACTAATTTGTTTTGTTTATGGTAGTTTTCCATCAATTATTTTGAGCTTTCCAGAAAAATAACATAGTGTACCAATCGAGATGGTTTCACCTTATTCTTTCAAACTCTGATGTTTCTAATTGCTGTCTTGTCTACTTGTATGGACTAATTTCTACAATATAACATTAAATTTTGGCAGAGAGACTAGGCATGTTGTCTTGTTCTTCCTTTCACCAGAAAGAATCTAGAGTATCTCCATTGGGGAAGATCTGGCTTTTGGATTAAATATCATTTTAAGGATGATAATGATTTTAAAATTTAAATGATACTTAAAATGACGATTTTAAGGATTAATCATTGACGATTATTGAGTGCTTTTTGCATCACTGGGTATTGGGTTTTGTTAAGTGCCTTTTTGCCATTTAAGAAAATGTTCTTATTTTTTTTCCACAGCTCTATTAATGTGAATTACATTGATTGTTTTCTTAATATTGAATCATTTTGTGTTTATGCAATAAATCCTACATGTTGTGAGGTATTATTTTAAAATATGCTATTAATTCTTTTTGCTAATATTTTATTTTAGAATTTTGCATACCTATTTATAAGTGGGAATAGTCTATAGTCTTCTATTTTGTACAATTTTTAAGATTTTGATATGAATTCTACATTCAATTCATTAAAAGATTTTAAATATTTTCCTTATTTTTTCATGCTTTGGAATAGTTTATATAGCATTTGGATGATCTAGGATTTAAAGGATTTTTAAGATGTCACTCTGAAACTTTGCGAGGGTGCTTCTTTATATCTTTATTTTTTTCTTTTAAGTTTGGTCCATTTAGATTCTATGTTTACTGAGATCAATTTTAGTAAATTAAATTTTCCTATAAAATGCATTTTTAAGTATTTCAATAAATTTCTATATAGTTGTGCAGAAAAGTCTCTTTTGATGTTAATTCCTCTCTTTGGTGGCTCTCATTATCCTCTCTTTGCTCTTTCTTATTATGTATGCTATTATTTTTTACTTTCTCACATTTAATTTATTTAATTTTATTGATTTTTAGGGAACAAGATTTATTTATTCATAAATTCTGAGTTTTTTGTTTGTTAATTTTTTAACTTTAATATTTCTTTTCTTCTAATTTCTTCATTTTTCTAATTTATGGCAATAGCTGTTACTCCCAGTTAATACCTATCAGGCAATTAGAAAGCATTCTATTTCCATATACTCTACCTTTCTTCTCTCATTTTTGTAGTTAAAATTTATTCAGATGATCAGGGCATATATTAAGCATATACTATTCTATCACCTTTATATCCACCATCACCTCTACAGTTAAATATCTTTAGTGGCCTTATGGTGAACCTGCCCCAGTATTTCCCAGTTGTCTGAAACTCATTTTCTACTTGATTCTTGAAAAATGTTCCTTGAGGTCTTACATACTCATAGCCTTCTCTATGACATATGTATATATATTATGTTGTGTGTGTGTATATATATATGTATACACATATGTCTATGACATATGGTATAATTTATCATATTTATCATATGGCATTAATTTACCATATTTTCAGTTCCATTTGATTTTTAATATTTTTTTCCTTTCCATTTTCTATTTCTCTTACTGTATTTTCATTGGTGTTTATTTACTTTTGTTCTTTCCAGTTTAGTCTTCTGAATTTTTTCTCTCATTTCCAATTTTTTGTTTACACTTTTTTATTTTTAATTATTACAGATACTAGTTGTATAGTTGTATATATTTATGGGGTACATGTGATATTTTGATAAAAGCATATAATGCATAATGATCAAATCAGGGAAACTGGGATATTCATCACCTCAAGCATTTATCATTTCTTCGTGTTAGGAACATTCCAATTTTATGCTTTCAGTTATTTTGAAATAATCTTATTCCTTCTATCTAACTGTATTTTTGTATCTATTCACCATGCCCTCTTTATCTCCCCTCCCCACTACCCTTCCCGCCCTCTGGTAACCATCATTCTACTCTATCTCCATGAGTTTAGTAATTTTTAGCTCCCACATGTTAGTGAGAACCTCAATATTTGTCTTTCTGTGTCAGGCTTATTTCACTTAGCATAATGTCCTCCAGTTCCATCCATGTTGCTGCAAATGACAGAATTTCATTCTATTTTTATGGCTGAGTAATATTCTATTGTGCATCTACCTGTACTACATTTTCTTTATCCATTCATCCACTGATGGACACTTGGGTTGATTCCATATCTTGGCTATTGTGAGTAGTGCTGCAATAAACATGGGAGTGAAGATATCTCTTTGATGTACTGATTTCCTTTGTTTTGAATATATACCTAGCAATAGGATTGCTGGATCACATGGTAGTTCTATGTTTTTGTTTTTTGAGGAACAGAGAAAGAGGAACCCTCTACAATGTTGGTGAGAATGTAAATTGGTACCTCCACTATGGAGAACAGTATGGAGGATCCTCAATTATTTCTTGAGCTCTGTTTTCTTTCTTTTAGTATCCTCCTCTTGGTTAGCCTTTTAATTTTTGCCTTGTCTGATTGATTATGCAACCTTTACAGTTTTTATTATTTTTCTAATGTTCTTTAGCTGGTTTTGAAATATTAAGTAAAAAAAAACTTTTATTGGCCTTTTTGCTATATTTTTCTAGTGGATCTTCACTGTTCATTATTGTGTCAGTCAGCGCATGTACGAAATAAAATGTCTTTGCTTACAAGACATTTTATTCTGAAATTATTTTCTGTTGCTCACGTTTTATTGAGATGGATTATATTATATTTTAGGGGTTATAATGTAGGGGTGGTAGCAGACCAGAATAGCCTTCCTAGATTCATGCATGGCTTTAAGACCCCTTCTTCTTTTGTTTCTGCAAAATATTTACAAATAGGACCTCTTTGTACCTTCTGTTTTCTCTGGTCCCTTCTCTCCTTTATATCTAGGACTTCTCTCCATTTTCTATTTATATAGATTTGAATTCTATTTTCAGTAGACTTTACTTAGTGTGGGGTTCTCTTCTTACAGAAGGAAATTTTGGTTGACTATTTCCAGAGGCTCTGGAACTTGAGTGCCCCTGCATAATCTGATTTCACTTTAGTTTTTCTACACCCATCTACAGAGTTGCTGCTCTGTAACCTCTCTCTAGTTTTGGCAATTATTCTCAGACCTGCCTGCTAGGTTTCCATCCAAGAGCAGACTTCTGCTTTAGTAGGTGAGTACTTGTGGATTCTTGGTACTCCAGCTCACAGAAAGTTGGAAGTTCCCCCTTTCTCCTCTCTGTTACTGCCAATAGTTGGTAATTTTTCTTGCCTATCCATATTCTAGAATTTGTAAGAATGATCCTTGTGTTTGTTGAAGATAACCATGAGGTTTTACTTTTACTATTCTAGATGCTCTAACCATTTTGTAAGGGGAATTGGGATGGTTTAAAAGTCTGCACTGATGCTGCCATGTTGCCCTGACTAAAACCTAAATCACTTCCTTTATTTGGTTTTGGAGAGACATCATACTACACTGTCTTTCTATCCTATCTCACTCGGCTGGTTTTTCTGAGAATTATTTGTTTATGGTGTGAGGAGAAATTTCATATTTACTCCCTTCCCTAATAACCTGGCACACACTTATGAGATAATCTAATCTATATTTGTTTAAAATGTTACCCTTGACACACACTAAGTATATGCACATATAGAATATCCCTCATAAATTCCTTATGTTGTTTGTACTTTAAATATTGATACATTTTGATGTAAATATTCTAGGCATATCTACTGAACTGCATTTTGTTATCATACTGATAGAACTTCATTCTGCCATTCTGCTATAGGGCAGTTACAGTTTATTATGAGATCAGAAATTAAATTAAACCAATGTGCTTGGTCATGTCATGTTGCTGTCTCAAACAATATGCTTTTGAATGTCATATATAGCTTGTTTCTCTTATGTCTAAACTTCACAAGATATACATGTATATTGTGGGGAAGGCAGAGAGAAGGAAAAAAACCAAACTGGATTACAGAAGAAATTACTATTCCTTTGGCATTTTATAAGATATTCTATAATATTTTGATATAATGTTTAAACTTACTTTCTCTCTGCTTTGTGACTGGCTAAAATCACAGAACTATTGTAGCATTCTCACCTAATGGGTTCAAGGCTATGTGTCACATCCTTGCATTACAGCATCCTCTGTGCCCGTTCACATATGTACTCATTCATTCTAAAAACCATCTGTACCTCATAATGCAAGTGGAGACAGACCCTGAGGGTTTATAATCTCACAACGAAATCCATTTATTTAGTTTTCTAACCAAAATAATGCTTTCTCATTCAAGAGATGTACTTGTGCATCTGCTATTTATTTGGCATGCCTTTCCCCTCTCTATTACTCACTTCACAGTTTTGGTTTAGCAAATGCATTGGGTGAAATGAATAAAGATATGTAGACCAAAACAGTAGGAAGTGTTAATTGTCATCAAATAGCCAAGTTCTGAGTTTATAAGAGAAAGGTATAGTTTGATACTCCAGCCACTTTAGGCTGGATCTTTCTAAGATGGCCACATTCTGTTTCTAATAGACAAATTTCTTTGATCTATATGGAACAATTTAATTTATGAATAATTTATGCACCAGAATTCAAATAAAATTGACAATGTTTGAGAACAAACTGTTGACCATGCCCTTGTCTTATTTTATACTGTGGTTTAAAAGTGATATAAAATGTAATATTTTAACATAAACTCACAACTGTCAAGCGTGCACTCATTTTAAAAACGGACTGGCCATCAGGAAAAAGATTAGGTAATGAAATTCCACATTCTGACCCACTGTCTTCTGAATGTCCATTTATTTGTTTATGTGAATAAAAGCAACTACTTAAAACTGTGGCATTCTCAGTGCCAGTGTAGAGTGGGAAATACGGTAATCATTCCTACTTTTGTTCTGAAATTCACCCCAAAAAAACACAATAAATGCAAGTTTTCATGGTCAAATGTATTCTCATTCATTATCATCTAGCTTTCAATTCACAGCTTGATACATCTAAATTGTCAGACAATGGAGAGAGAGATTTGAGAGGAACACAAAGGAAGGAGGAAAAGAGATTCTTCAAAAGGATGAATCTGTGAAGGGCAAATGACTCAGAAAAATCTTCATACACTAAAAATTACTTTTTAAAAGTCCCTACCCATCTACTTTCTTGTATTTCTCTACTTGTGTCCTAATTATTCATTTTAAGATTTAATTGTCTATTTCTCTTCTGTCCCTGCCTGCCTCTCCCCCTCCCTTCCTCTTTCACTTTTCTCCTTCCATCTTTATAGTGGGTAAAAACTCCCACTGAAATGCTTCGTTTGGGTCCTAAGCAAATCTTCTGCAACTCCACTGGATCCCAGTATCCCTCCTGTACAGGACCATCTTCCATTCTAAGTTCCTTCAGTTATGGCCAAATAGATGTCTCTATACCTTTGAGCTCAAGTAAAACACGCTGTGAAAATAAACTCAATTTGCTTATCTGGAATATCACGTGAGAATACACTGACCATATTAACGCCATATATTTTATTGCTTTGAAGTGGATTATCTTAGATCCTTAGTTATGTCTTGCTTTTTAAAGTTAAGGTATGTATAGAATGGCAGAACAAAAGTAACAAAGTGTCTGTTTGGATGAAAATAACTAAAATTTACAATTAATTTTCATTGCTATAACTTCTAGAAAACACAGCAAGGAGGGCTAAAGGTGAAGGTGCTGAGAAACACAAATCCTGTCTCAACTGGACGTCTATTATAGATTGAATATGAATACATGGAGGCAGCCAGTAATGTAGAGTGCATTTTAATAATTTTTAAAAGAGTTAAATGATCAAATCCCTAAAGATACAGCATTTTTCTTTTTCTTTGCCCAGGAATCTGTTTTGGAAGCCAATTCAATGATTACTACTAGGACATGGAATTTTGATATCCATTTGGTACTGATTTACACCAGTATTTTTAAGGCTGCCAACAAGAAAGTCCAGAATTTCATCAGGCAGCCAAAATTCCACAAGAGACAACTGTCTTTTATTTTATAGCTTATGAATTTGGGGCTTAATATGATTTTCCACTAACAAGTTCTGTACCCCCTCCAGAGTGCTAAAGCCAGTGCATAGATCAGCAAAGTAACCCAGAACATATGAGGCAAGTTAATATTAAACTTGAAGGAAAAATGTACAAATTATATTGTTTACTTAGGAAAAAAAGCACTCTAGTTGAAAGAGCTGACATACGATTTATTGCAAACACTTAACCAGCGTGTTCACATTTTTAACCCCATTCCCACTTGTAGTACTTGTTTGGTGGCATTGTGGCACTGGATACAGACTGATAAACCCATCAATTAAAAATCCATTAAATATTGGTAAAAAAGCTCTATTACATGTCTTCTCTTGTTATGCAATGGCTAGAAAACATACAGAATCACATCCATAATGAGTAAATAAATCACAGTAATAAATAACTAACTTAGGGAATAGGTAGATGAATAACTCTTTTTAAGCATAAGTAAATGAAGAACCTGTTTAATTAAAAACAACAAAATGTTCTTAGTTTCCAGAAATAATTCTATTGTGAAAAGAAAACTTCCATATATAATTAGGAAAATATAGTATAGGGTTTCTTTCTATGCTCAAAGCAATGTTTTCAAAAGAGTCAGAGATAATAAATACTGGAACACATAAATGATTAAATATGTGTGGGTTTTTTTTTTACATAAGTCATGAAATCTTCTTCCCCAGATGCCAGGAAGAAAAGGAGAAACATCATATATCAGTCCCATAGTATTTAAATTTTCTACTCCTAAAGGATTTTTCCTAGGATTTCAGGCTTATTCAAAAACCTTCATGTTTCATACAATTTGTAATATAGCTTTATACATTTGTTCCCAATCTCAGTCAGCATAGATAGATAATAGAAAATATCAGCATAGGAAGCTGTAGAATTACTTATCTACAAAACCAGACATCAAACACTGCACCTTGCAATATTTTTTAGTAAAGAGAAATTATGTCACAAAATTTCACAGATGAGGCCTATGGAAGAAGAACACAAAGGAACTATATCTGTAGTAGAAGCCCATCCTAACTACTAAGAAAGCCACACGATACCCTTTAGATTTCACATTAGAATTCCTAAACTGTTAGCCTAACACCTGGCCCTCATGCTGACCACAGGAAGAGGACTTCTGAACCACCATCGTCAGGATGCTGTCCACCTTCCTGAAAGGGATGAGAATCTGTGAGGGATTCCCAGGCTTATCAGAAAGAAGGCTAGAGCATTGTATGTGAGCACCATCTAGCACTGCTATATTTCTAAAATAGTAATTGTACAGAGTCATTTTAACCATGTGCCAAACTGCTCCATCTAATGACAGTTAAATTAAAGCTGCAAGTGTGTGAGCAAATGGTAAAAAGACTTCTGACTTCTATTCTTAACTTTTATAGTAGAAACATTTCCATAAAAAACTTCATTTAAAAATATATTGCTAAATTACTCTATGAGATTTATCATTAGCTAATGACATGATTTTTATCTACACAAATTTTAAAAACTGACATTGAGTGGATAAATTATTTCACACAAAAAAGTTACTGTATCTAGAAGAAAATAAAATGAAGACATTGCTATAAATTAACCTTTGAAGTTTAATGTCTTTACCCACACCTACTTATAAGACAAGACCTGAAAAAAAAGCCATTCTGTTTGTAAAGAAGGCCAAGATAATATGTTTCAGGTGGTAGCAAACCACATAAATATTGCGAGTATCAATCCTGGCCCTCTATCAGGAACATGCATTTCTGGTTTATTGAATCATGAATAATTATTTATATTACCTATCATTATAAATCCTATTTGTTTCTCCCTATTGTCACAGAGTTATGACAAATTTCCTTCTGAATTTTTTATTAGTTTTCCAAAAGACTCCACATTGAAATTCAATTATGGCTAAACTCTACAGGTGTGGTATATGGGGAAAAATGGAGAAATACTCCTCTAAATATATCAGATCCACCAACTATTGCTTTATCTTAAAATGAAAGTTTATTCCTCTAGACTTCCCCTCTCTGCTATATGTTCTGACCTAAACTCATTCTCCATTTAGCCTTTACTAGTTTGTTTTTGATATAGCAGTGTGATCAGCAGCAATGTGACCAGAGTACACTATATTTTGTTTCCATATAAACATTCTGGCAGTCAGTTAAGTTCACTGTGTCCTTTGGAAGTCTAATCATACAGACAACAGGTCTGACAGAATATACACTACTTAATATATACAAATGTGAGTCCTGAGAGCAACACATAAGGATTAAAAGAGGAAATAACTTTTCATTAAGGCTGGAAGAAATTGGAGAAACTTTAATGGGGAAGTTTTAAAAACTCTAACTAAATTACATCACTTGCTTTTAGATAAAAATGAGCCCAATCTCGAGTTGCTGGCTTGAAAACATTTTGTTCATTCATTCATGACCAATGGTGAGCAGGTACTTGGCATCCCAGTGGTTTCATATTTGAACTTCATCTTCTGCTTTAAGTTCATGGCATGTACCACTGATGTGTGTTCCTAATAATTCTCCTTCTCTCAACAGTGGAGACAAGGCAGGAGGCTGCATCGTCAATAGGGAAAGAGATGGAGAAAAATTGGGAGTCATGCCTTCTGGCAGAGAACCAAGATGGTAGGGGATGGGAGAGCGTGGGTGTTTCGGAGGCACCTGCCCCAGGTTTACTGCCGGCATTCTTGGTGGGACTGCTTTAATCCCAGGCTGGGCTACTGCTGTTATCAAAGGGGGTGGAAAAACAAAAGATTTCTTCTCTTTTGGAATGCCAGGCATATGCAAATGTTCATCCTTTAGTTTTGCAATATCATTAAATACTGAGGCAAGAGGTTGGAATTTGGGCTCCCAACTAAGAAGATAATTCCAGTGATAGTTGTCTTTTCCATCATGATCAGAGGTCGTCTGAGTTGAAAGAGCTGCACACCTTACTTCCTGATCACCTGAAATAAAGACAGACTCTTTTCTAACGTCAGCCAGGATGCTCTCTTTTGCCTCTCTCTTCTGAACTGTCTGGGGTAACACATTATTTTGAGCACAGGTGGTGCTGCAGCCTTCCCCTTGATCTCCTTCCCCAAATGTTTGGCTGGCTTCTGCTGTTTCGGCAGTCACCATCACATCAGTTTCCCCAGATAGGCAGGAGAGCTGGTCTGAGTCCCTCGGGATACCCGAGTCTGGCACCCTGGACTCGTGGTCACTCAGAGCTGAGTCTGAGCACTTTCTGTAGGGATGCTCATTTATCCTCTGGATTTCCTTATCTTCTGCAGTTTCTCCTTCCACAGAACAGTGGCCACTGGAGTTTGAGTGTCTGTACAGATTGACAATATCCTTCTCCATGATACTTATTAAACTCAACCATTCCGGAGTGGCATCCACAGGGACCACCTCGTTACTGCAGTCGTCAGTTTTCTGGAAGGCTTTGAGCACACTGGCATCCCGGGTCACTCTCAAGTCCGCATCTAAAGATGAGGTTTTCTTCTCCTCATAATTGTTTATTGTGTCTTTTTGTTTATGTCTTAAAATCATTACAATTAGAATGCAGATGAGTATCAGAAACACTAAAAAGGAGACCACCAGGCTGATTGAAAAGCTGCTGGCGAACACTGCCAAGGGTGTTCCTTCAGAGGAGAAAGACACATTCACAAAAACAGTGCAAGATGCAAACTTGGAATCTGATTTGGGACTATGAGCGATTATTTTCATTTCCAAGGTGTCTTCTTTGTTGAGTTGACTTTTTATTAGGGGAAGGGCTCTAATCAAATAAATATTTCCATTGGTTTTATTTACTGAAAAGAAAGGAGATGAGGTTCCAAGGGAGTAAAGAATGACTCCATCAATACCAGCATCTGCATCTGAGGCTTCCACTCTGCCAATCAACTGTCTGTCTTTATTCTTTTCTGGGAGGGTGAAAAAATACTGATCTTGAGTGAAAATGGGCTCAAATTCATCTATCCCTTCAATATCCACCCAGACCACTAAGGAGGCAGTTGCATCACCTTTGTCTTTGGCTTGGACTGTGAGGCAGTATTTATTGCCATTTTCATAGTCAAGGATTTGCTTAGCATGAATATCCCCTGTCAAAGGGTCAATGAGGAAGAGATCATGATCATAAGACATTCCATGAGTGAGAAAACAGGGTGATACAATAGAATAGGTCAATTCTCCATACGGACCAGCATCAAAATCCAGAGCATTTATAGAGCATATGGTAGAGGAAATAGGCAGATTTTCTGGAACAATACAGCTGAAGCTTGAGAACATAAACTGAGGTGCATGGTCGTTATCATCCAGGACACTGACAAACACAACTGCAAAAGAAAAATGTTTCTTTTCTGCATCTGAAGCTTGGACAGTTAAGGTGAATTTTGTCATTTTTTCATAATCCAGAGGTTTAATCAAATAAAGAACTCCAGTGTTTTCTTCTAAGTAAAAATGTCCCTTCTCATTTCCAGAGATGATGTTGTAGATGATTTCTGCATGTGACCCTGTGTCACGGTCATTTGCTGAGACCACAGTGATGTGACTCCCTAGAGGGGTGCTTTCCTTGACATGGGTGTGATAGCTCAGGCTGCTGAAGTTTGGGGGATTGTCATTGACATCAAGTACTTGTATTGATATGACAGCTGTGGAACTCAATGGAGGGCAGCCACTGTCAGATGCCAGAATGACAAGCTCATGGCTAGCACTTGCTTCTCTGTCCAGACTGTGAAGCAACACAAGATAACCGACTTGCTTATAAGGATATTCTGAATGAAAGAACTTAGTTTCCACATGAAAATTGTTCTGTGAATTACCACTGATGATGGAATATTCAACATATGTGTTTTCACGGGTCCAGTCATGGTCGATGTTTGAAAATGTAACAAGCGTGCTTCCAACCAGAGCATCCTCACTTAGGCTAAGATTATAGGATTTGACTGTGAATTCAGGGGCATAATTGTTCATATCTTCTATTCCTATCTCCACTAAAGTAAGAGCTCTCAGGTCAGGATTTCCACCATCACTGGCTTCCACAAGAAATTGAGTTGTTGATATTGTATCCAGAAGTAATACGGGACTGATAGTAAATATTGTGCCTGAAAAATAAGACATAGTATTTCAACACTGTGAGGTGCAGTTTTGATGATCCATTTAATCGGCAGTTGACTATCCAATGTCTACTAATATGTGTTTAATTCTTTGTTAGATCTGTTAAGTCACAATGAACAATGACTCCAAATAGAAATACAAATTATTGTATTTATATGTTTATAACATGTAAGATACAGAAATAATATTCATGACATTCACTCTGTGAAATATGTGTGCTGCTTGAGGTTGCTGTTGCCACAAATTCCTCTGAATTTTGTTTTTGTATAGTAAGTTGTTCCACTATTCTTAAAAAATATTTTTGTTTGTAAAATTTATACCCCATTCTACTACCCACAAACACATGTATAAAGATATTCTGGCATAAAGATACTTATTCTGGAAATACTTGTTGATATTCAAGCCAAATGAAAGCAGTAAAAATGATAATGCTGAGTTACTATTATACTATTGCTTAATTAGAGAGATGGGCTTTCCTACAGATCATGCAAGTCGATGTTTCCCTTATTGCTGAAATGTAGTTGATAAAGTTTATTGTACTAAATATAGAAATATTTAATTTTTATAAATGTGTGTGTTAAACCATTTTTAAGATAAATATGTCTTAAGGATGGTCACTAAGAAAGAATACAGAATGCTGACATTTAAATGCCATGTTTCAGTTAGAGTCCCACCATGAACTAAATCGGCCATCATTTAATGTTTTAAAAATATTTGAATCAATAGCTTAGTGCGTTTAATGTTTTAAACATTGCATTTAATGTTTTTAACATTGCCTTTAATGTTTTAAACATTTAATGTTTTAAAAATATTTGAATCAATAGCTCAGTGCAAAATCTGTCAATAGCACATGTCAAGTAAAAGTGTTGCTAAGGATTGAGTGCTCAGAAGAACTGCCTTGCACACTGTGATTTGCTGTGGCCGGGGTGGCAGTTGCCATCATCTGAGACTACAGAAAGAGAGACAGACAGAGAGAGAAAAGACGGTGGGGGGGTGGGGTGGGGATACAGAGAGAAGAATAGAAGAGCCAAATTCCTGATACGTTTGTAATCATGCAGTAATCGTTCATCCACAGGCAGCATGATACAGGACGTACTTCTCCATTTACAACACCCGGTGGGCTTCATGCTGGTATTTTGGGACTAAATTCCCCTTTCAGGTAATCCCAAGGTTAATTTTTAAATGAACTCTCACTTGTGAAATGATGCAATGGTGGATAGAGATGGGGAACACAGAGTGTGATGTCTCCCAGGCCCTGTTATTTTCTAGTATGCTCTGCTAGGGACATTGTTTTGCTACTTATTCATCTTTACAAAATTTAGCTTTTAAATTAAATTAAATGTCCACTCACTGTTCAACTTTCTCTATATACTGTTTAATTGAATGTAGAATCACTTGCCTGAAGGCATTTCACAACCACGAATGTCTTGGTCTCTGATAAAAAGACAAAAAGCCTTGGGAAGCATCAAATAAACCAAAACACCACAGTGGTTTCCAGTTGGTAGAGATGCTTAAATAATTTTCCTTTTAAAATTATTCTTGTGCTTATTGAACATATAATGCTATTACTGATTTTTTTTAACTTGGCTTGGGAAGAAAGCATCCAGACTCTAGTAATATGAAGTCTTCAGCACTAACTTAATCCCTTCAACATCATTTTGATTCTTGCTGAATCCTGGGATAATTGCCTGAACTGTGCTTGGTTGGACGGATGCAACTGGGTGTTTATTATACTGGGGTCTCTGAATTTGTGAGCATTTACCAGCATTTAAACAGTGACATTTGCTTTCCAGCCACTGAGATGTTGGAGAAGAGAAATAACACTGGCATTTGCTATCGCAGCACTTCATGTGAAGAGTAATGAAACAGTCGTGCTTATAATTCCATGCGGGGTGGGGAGGTGGGGAACTTTTATAGAGGCATTTAGAAAGGGTTATTTCAGGTTTCTACTTTGAAACCCAAACCTATGAGCATTAATGCAATTATAAATAACTCACCATTCTTAGGATCAATGGAGAATTCCTTAGAAGAGGATAGAATTCTGTAAGAAATGTTCTCATTGCTTTCTAAGTCTGTGGCTGACAGAGTCAGCACTGAATACCCCACAGGTATTGATTCAGGAACTGTGACCTGAGGGAAAAAGAGAAAAATAGGGACATTGTGCTTAAAGGCTGAAGGTATTTTCACCAACAGGGACAGAACATGAGGTCATTTTATTCATTTTGATTATGGAAACCATACAATACAACCTGACTTTGTTAGACATATTAATTTATGGAATTGGCATATTAAAAAGATTGTGTGAATAGTCCCTGGATTCAGAAAAAAAGGTGTTGTTTTGTTTTGTTTTGTTTGAGATGCAGTCTTGCTCTGTTGCCCAGGCTGGAGTGCAGTGGCGCAGTCTTAGCTCACTGCATCCTCTGCCTCCTGGGTTCAAGCGATTCTCCTGCCTCAGCCTCCAGAGTAGCTGGGACTACAGGTACCTATCACCACACCAGGCTAATTTTTGTATTTTTAGTAGAGATGGGGTTTCACCACGTTGGCCAGGCTGGTCTTGAACTCCTGATCTCAGGTGATCCGCCCACCTCAGCCTCCCAAAGTGCTGGGATTACAGGTATGAGCCACCACGCCTGGCCAGAAAAACTAAGTTTTAAAAATAATTTTATTCAGTTTTTTTTACTATGAAAAAAAGTTCTTCTAAACTATTTCTATGAGGCAGAAAATAGTTAATACATTCACTAATATATTATTCCATTACATGCATGGCATTAATTCAAGCAAGCCTTCACAGGGGATCATTACTTAGGTTACCCTCCCCTTGTGTTTACACTTAAATCTTGCATTTGCTACATTCAAAAGTTCTGGAGTCCATTTGCAAGTATTGAGTTGAATGCTATCCTTGCCCTTACTTCTATAAACATATATTATGCTCTAAAAGCTAAAATTTCCACTTTATAGTTTTGTTCGTGATTTTTTTTCTGTAAAATTTTAATCAATGCATTCCAAAAATATGCCTATGAAAGAAAGAATTTTCCCAAATTAACTGCAGATAATGCAAACAGTCTTATCAGTGGTTTGCAAATATTTGGCAGGTTCCAATTGTCATGACAAACTGGACTACAACCTCTAAAAACTAAAAAAAAAAAAAAATACATATGTAGTAAACTAAACCGAATGAGACATTCATTTCCATATGTACTTATAGACTCCGTGATATTAAGTGTAAAACCCGCAGCGTTAACTTAGGCACTACAAACAGTGAATGCTGTCTATCTGAATTAGTCTATCGGCGATGGAAGACTTACATTATTCTCTATTCTTTCTAGTTTTGGCTTTGGTTTCGGCATCTCTTTAAGCCCTTTACCTGATAGAAATCTTGAGAAAACACTGGTGGATTATCATTGACATCCAGCACACGGACTACAAGTGCTCCCTCTGTGTAGTGCACTGAATCAGAAATTTGGATGAGCAGCTCATATTCAGTCATTTCTTCAAAATCCAATGTTTTCACCAACACCACCACTCCAGTGTTCTGATCAATAGCAAACTTGGTTCCAGGATTACTCTCTTTGGCAAAACTGAATATGAAAGCTGAATTCAAATCCACATCATGAACTGACACATGAGTCACAATTACACCAGGCAAAGAATCTGAAATAGTCATGACCAGTGTCAGTCTCCATTAAAATTCATCCTTTGAAATACATTTCTTTAGTAGTTCCATCCAAGTATTTTTATTCTAAGTCCAATATGATTTGCTCTTTCTTGGCTTGATTTCTCATACAAAGCTCATTATGCACTGAACAAAAACTCTGAAGAATTTATGAGACCAATAAAAGTGAAAATTTACCACTGAGTAGGGAATTGAGGAGGTAGGGTATATTCAATTTTTATATTACATTATTTTCATTATATGCTTACAACACAATTCCAGTACCAAGAAACATTCTAAGCCACTTATTTATAATATACACTTTCTGTATCAAAATCATATCTTCATGGGGGATATGAATGGGATGAAAGGTATTACTCAGGACATTAATACAAAACATGGCATTTTCAAAAACAGGCCAGGTTTAAATATTTGGGCACTAATGTCCGAATTAGATACTTATTTCCTTATATTTATTTTTGTACAATTATTTATTTTGGAGTGGTGCACACACTGCTTCCTTTTCTTAAATCTGACTCTCAAAATTATTAAGACTATAGAAAAACAAAGTCTACATAGTACTAGTGAGGAAAGCAAATCTCAAATATTATTCACCAAAAAATTACAAAATAGATGAAATGTTCAATGCCTCACTCACCACATATGTTCTGTAGCCTAAACAGCCCGTGAAAGGGACTTTGTTTTTAATCTTACAGATATGGTACAGCTAGAAAGAATATGCCAAGATGCTCAGAATAGTTCCATTGTATATGAAACCCATAATTTTCCATTTTCAAGCTTGAACACTCTCAATGTGCACCAACCACACCGTACCCTATTCAGTATGTTTTGATTTATGTAGTTTCTTCTTGTGATATATTTATATTAGGCCCATTGCTATATTTTAACACTAATTGCATGTGCTGAAAAATAGATCCTTCAATAAAATCAAATGAAAATATATCAAATATGCAAAAGGCAAAACTGGAGAATTTATTTTATTTGTAGGTTGTAATATTTGTAGATATCTCTATGCATAGACATGTCTGGAATATTTCCCTCTGTGAGAGGTTATGGTTGTAATTTGTTTAGAAAGTGAACATAATAAAATGTTAGAAACATTTTAGGAATTAATGTCGTATTACGAGTGAAGTAGAGAGGCAAGCGAGGGTCACCATTATTTTCATCTTCAACTATAAAGACTTAGGTTATGTTTCCCCAACGCAGCCATTGACCATGGACAACTTTGGGTCCACAGACTAGAGGACCATTGTATAACCCACAGACCCAAATAATGAAGGTTAACCAGCATCTCACTTAAAAATTTCTAGTTTCAACCTCTACCATTAGTGTGGTACAAACGTTGAAGATAAGGTTATTCTGGGAAAAATGATGGCTTTGTGCAATAAACATCTAATTCACTTCACTAATTAGTTGTTGTTCGTATCCTGAAAAGACTGACAGAGTTATGAATGCTGATTCTTCTTAGAGGAGGTTCACAATGGTTATCACAGTCAACAAAATATGCTTCTTCATAGAGTAGATATAATTTGTAGGAAATGTCTGCATTATAAACAGATACTATAAGGGATGATGGTTGGAGCATGGGGACTTGCTTTGACATTTTACTCCTTTGACATTTAATATTTAACTTATGATCATCCATTTTTTTGTTCTGCAAAATGAAGACAAAAATGATCTAGTTTGCTTGGTTGTTGAGGATTAGCACTCATGTTAATACAGTGTCTGGCTAAAGAAAATGGTAAATGATATTATACAAGTTAATCAAAACCACTATGCCAAATTGTCACACTTACCTTCTGTAATTTCCACTGCTTCAGAGGGGAGAAAAGCTGGGGCATTGTCATTTATATCAGTCACCTGTACCTTGATTACAGTCGTATTAGAAAGCCTGGGCATCCCTTTATCTGTGGCTTGGACAATCAAGCTGGTTTGGAAAAAGAATCAAAGAATGTGATTCATCATCCAGGAATTAGAAAAACAACATAAATATCAAATATCTAGTTGAAAATTTTAAAATGAGCTGACTAGCTACTTTTATTTTTCTCTTGGATTTTCTAAATGGCATCATTTAAAATGTATTTCATAAGAATGGTACTCTGAAATTTATTTATTTTTGGCATGTTCAGAGAACCAAATCCAGCAAGCTGCCAGGGATCATGAGGCATTAATGTCAAAATGGACCATTTCGGAGAGCCAGACTGTAAAATTCAATCCTGTCCTGTGAAGAATAATCTTAAAAAATAGAAACACCAATATCTGTACTTTGGATAAGTAGACTGTTTCCACCTTGCCATGCCCTGGTCTGGATATTGCTACATATTTCCATCTTACTGAACCAACAAAAGATGTAGCCACTAAAAGATTGCTTTGTACTGATATTTTTGGATCCAAATAGCAAATCAATCGAAATGCTAGAAATAAGACAGGACACCGCTATGATGAACACACTTACAGAAGATGTATGATTGGCTAGGATTGTGAAGTAGAGGTAAAAGTCCATGATCTGAAAGAATTTACATAGACTAATTTAATCTCTCTTGGATGATGCTACAATGAGCTTGTCCATCAAACAAACTACAAACCTTGTTACTGTCTTCAACTTCTCCCTTTCTCTCACCACCCTTCCAATGTTCAACTAATTATGTATCTTATCGGTATTACCTCCTGGATGTCACTTGGATTAGTGTCCCCAGCCATTTCACTCCTACCTTCAGAGCCCTCATGTATGGTAATCAGCACATTTTGCTTTGTCTGGGAGTGAAGAATTTCCTGGGACATGAGACTTGCAGTGTTTTTAAAACCAAGATACTCCAGGCAAACTGGACATGGGACTTTCAGTGCTACATCCACTAAAGTCCCAGGCAAACCTGGACAAGCCAGTCCCCTGTAGCCTCAGCCCCTCACCATTTTTACCTGGAATGCTCTATATGTATTGTATCCTTTCTCACCAGGAGGACCTGATAAATTACCAACCTCCCTGCTGTGAGTCTCCTCTTGTTCCATCCACCCTCTATATTGCGCTCAATTGCTCTAACTAAGATCCTAATTTGAAAACCTGACCTCCCTATTTAAAACTCTTCTTTGGCTCTCCATGTCTCTAAGAGGTTATCCAAACCCCTGAACATGTTCACATAAACTTTTTTGTTCTTGCTTTTACATGGAATCTCAGCCCTTACACCTTGGTTTTTCAAAGCTCACATCTCTGCGAAGTTGTCATGGACCTTTCATTTGATTTAAATGCACCTTTATGTATTCGCATAGCACCCTGTACATTCTTCTGCCATAGCAATCATCACTCTTTTTTCTTAATAACATATTTGTCTGCCTCTTCTGTAAGTTTCTTATGGGCAGGGAGCCGCCTTATTTGCTTTTCTATAGTAAGTATTGAATGTTGGTTTCTCAAGATTTCCCCAAGGTTATACATACATTATATGACAGAGCTGGGATTCAGGTTCATGTGTTGGTCAACTGGAAACCTGTGCTTCATGATACTTGTTGAACATACCTCTCTTATTGTGTATATATCACATTCTAATGTATAATTATTGGCTTATTTTTCACTCCCCTCTGAACACGATGAAGGCTAGGAGGGTGGCTGAGTAATAAAATGAGTTATTAATTAGAAGATGCTCTTTATTTCAGAAGTGGAATTAGTCTCAGCTAGTTGTGGGAACCACCTTTTAAGAAACTATGTCTTCAAAGTTGATACACTTTCACTTTGTTTTCATTGTTAGAACATTCACTTGATGAATGTTCTTTCTCTTTCCAATCCTAAATTTAAAAATGACATGAAATAAACATCAACTCCTTCTTGGTTTGAATTCCACTTAATATTAAATCATCAGGGCTTATCTACTATTCATGAAGAACACAGGCTGCCTTCTGCATTATCAGAGTTGGAATATTAGTAGAACAACCACCTGAATCTCACATTTCTGGAGCCTAACTTCTGGAATAATTATATGCTGAAAGTTTATTTTGTTAGTATGAATGTCAGTCAGATACATATGGAAATATTTTACCAAAAATAATCAACTCATACTCCTTTCTCCCCTGCTGCTTGCCCCTTCCAATGTCATCTAAAGTCTCAGCCAAGACATCAAAGTTAAGTTTCTATCAACTCTTCTACTGTAGCCATAATTACCATTATTTTCACAATGTTACAACTTCAGGCATCCTACATAATGCCTTGTCAGATTAAAAAGAAGTGAGATTCTTTGATATGGAGAGAAATATGTTGTTTAGCATCAAAATAAATGGGAAAGGAAAAGGTTCCTCAATGACTTGAAGAACAAATAAAAAAATATGAAGGTAGATGTGCAGATATTCTGTACACAACCTCTGCAAGACTTCAAGCCATCTATGATGGCTCTTTCGCAGTTGTGAAACTGTTGGTTGTAGCCTGTCCAACTCACTCCATGTTCCACAACTGTTGCCCTGATTACTATTATCACTACAGACAATAAATGAAACTGACCAGATTTAGAACAGGCCCATTCTAAGCCTTTTAAATTCAGAGCATTTTTTTCCTGTTCTATCAACAATGGGAAGCTTCTTTTACCATGTTAAACTTTAAATAAGGCTTTTGACCAGGAAGGATCTCTTTGATTGTCTTAACAAGTACTAAACTTGTTGGTAGAGGATTTTTCAAAACTCTCAATTATATCTTAAACGTCTAGCAGGAATTTTCTAATCCTTCTGAAATTCTGAAAAAAAAAATATCAGCCACCAGTAGAAATAACTATGAAAAGAAAAACTATGATTTCTGGTTAAAGACAGCAAGCTGACTACACAGGTTTTATCTTCCCTTCCTCTCAAGATTCTTCTAAAATGATATCAAAAACCTTTTATAATAAGTTATAAGTCCATAAAGCTAAAAAATGAGGGAAGATATTAGTGGGTGAAATGAATGAGAAATATCAACAAATTCTGGAAGATACAAGCAGATTGAAGAGTGTTTGCAGATGAGTGGGCCAAAGGAAATCAGAGATTAAAATCCACTCAGAATGTACAACACCAAGAGTGGATCCCACTGAAAACTGTAAATCTGAGTGATAATGATGTGTCAGTGTAGCTTCATCAAAATGCACCAATCTGGTGGGGATTTTGATAACAGGGGAGGCTGTGCATGTGTTTGGGCAGGGATATACAGGAAATCTCTGCACCATCTCTCAATTTTGCTGTGGACCTAAAACCACTCTAAAAGAAGTCTTTTAAAATGCATTCAGAGGAGCATAAAGATACGTGAGGAGCAGAGTTGCTCCCAGGTCACCAAGGAGAGGCTCAAGACATGGCAAATATTGCAGTGAGGTATTGAGATAAAAATAGGAAGAATATTTTAAATTCAGATTATTTAAATAGAAAGATTATTTATGTTATTTTAAATACAGGGTAGTTTTGTCCCTCTTGCCCATTACTCTGCATTCTCAGCCAAAGAATGCCTTTGGTTCATACTTGGGGTTAGTAATATTGAAAGACCTTCTCTGGAGAACTGAAAGTCCCCTCCCAAAGAAAAGTGAACTCCATATACTGCCATTTGTATGTCATCCTGAAAAATAGTCGACTTCCCCTGTGGTACATTTGAAAGTGAAGAGTGCTAGTCAAGTCCCTCTAGCCCACTCAGAGGTTCTAATGACTTTGAAATTGCCTCACTTATATCTAAGAATCAACACTTATTTACAGAAAGCCTTCAGCATGAAAAAGAGAGCTCAATATAGACAAATAAAAAAAAGGAACCCAGTGGAAACAGATATTGAAAGGAACAAAAGAAAATTTAAAACAATTCTAATTAATACCTTGGAGAGATATCAGAAGACAACATGTGCATAAAACAAGAGTTGGATATTATTTAAAAAGTCAAACATCAAAGAAGAGCTTTTAGAAGTAAAAACAAATATATAATATCCTCTCAATTTTTAATTAGAAAATAAAAAAGAAATTTTAGAAGATTAAAATTCAGGAAATATCTTCCCAAAATAAAACAACAAAAACTAAACCCACACACAAACAATAAATGGAAAGTAGGAAATAAAATATAACTAACAAAGAATTCATCTAGGCAATCCAATACCTAATTGAATAGGATTCAGGAAAATGAAACAGGGCAAAACAACAAAACAAAACTAAAAAAAGGGGAGGAAATTTTCAATGAATTTTCCTTTTCAATAATACAAGAAAATTAAAAGAAATATGTCTTTTTATTAAAAGTGAACACTGAATACACAGCACAAGGAGAAACCCACATCAAAATATGCAATCACATTTTAAAATACTATGGATGATAAGTATAACCTATAAATTTCTAGAGAGAAGGAAAAATTATACAAAGTAAAAGAATCAGAATGGTGGCCAGGCGCAGTGGCTTATGCCTTTAATCCCAGCACTTTGGGAGGCTGAGGCGGGTGGATCATAATAAGGTCAGGAGTTCGAGACCAGCCTGGCCAATTTGGTGAAACCCCATCTCTACTAAAAATATAAAAATTAGCTGGGTGTGGTAGCGGGCGCCTGTAGTCCCAGCTACTCGGGAGGCTGAGGTAGGAAAGTCACTTGAACCAGGAGGCAGAGGTTGCACTGAGCTAAGGTCAGGAGTTCGAGACCAGCCTGGCCAATTTGGTGAAACCCCATCTCTACTAAAAATATAAAAATTAGCTGGGTGTGGTAGTGGGTGCCTGTAGTCCCAGCTACTTGAGAGGCTGAGGCAGGAAAGTCGCTTGAACCTGGGAGGCAGAGGTTGCACTGAGCCAAGATCACACCACTCCAGCCTGGGTGAAGAGCAAGACTCCGTCTCAAAAAAAAAAAAAAAAAAAAAAAAAAAAAAAAAAAAAGAATTAGAATGGCACTAGACTTGTTAATAGCAACACTGGGTTTCAGAGAATAACACAGCAATGCCTTCAAAATTCTAAAAGATACTTTCAACTTCTGTATTGTCCATTGCATATATTACATGAAAGAGTAGAATAAAGACATTTTCAGACATGCAAAGGCTCAGATAATTTACTTCTGTGGCACCTTTTCCTGCAAACCTATTGGAAGAGAAAGACATGGGATCTGGAAGTGCTGGCCTGACCTCGGAGAGCTATAAACCAAAGTTATCGGATCTCAGCCTTGCAATAGGTTTATTAACCCAAACTGTTCATGCTAGATGGAGAGGGCATAAAGCAGTAGGAACCAGGTCTTCATGAAAAAAGAGGGCTTGATAGAATATTTGATGAAAGGCAGTTAGAGGATAAATTAGATGCAGATAACAGAGCTTATGGGATATTTACAAGGCATTCAGTGCATAGATATAGCCAATTGGGCACTCAGGAAAGAAACTGGGGGCTTGAGGAGTAGTGATAAAAGGAAAAAAACATATAATATGATTTGACTATGAAGTAAACATGAATAGATTCATATAATATAAACACTAATTACTGATTAAATGAAAAACAGTGATATGAATATAGAAAGAGTTGGAGTGTGAGAAAGTAAGGATTTTACACCTATATCTATTATAACAGGAAGTTAAGAGATAATGTTTAAAGTTATAAATTATTACATACTTGTATTTATAATATCAGAGAAAATCAGTTAATAGTGTCTGCTTCTGGAGGGCTTTAGCCTTGGGAGAGGTGAGGCAGTGGTTGCTGACTTTCATCTACACTCTATACACTATTTGATTTTTTTAAAAAATGTATATATTACTTTGATAATAATAAAAAATCAAATTAAGAAAATATGCTTAGATCAAAATCTTTAATCTTTATGTATCTATTGAATACTTCTTTTCTGCCTAAACAGACTCAATCCTAAGTAAAAAGAAGAAAGCCGGAGGCACCATATTACCTGACTTCAAACTATACTATAAGGCTACAGTAATGAAAATAGCATGGTACTGATATAACACAAACACACAGAGTGATGGAACAGAATAGAAAACTTAGAAATAGAACCACACACGTACAACCATTCAATCTTTGACAAAGCCAGCAAAAACAAGCAATGAGGAAAGCACTCCCTATTCAATAAATGGTACTGGGATAACTGGCTAACCAGATGCAGAAGAATGAAACTAGATCCTTACCTTTTACCATATACAAAAATTGACTGAAGATGAATTGAAGATTTAAATATAAGGCCTCAAGCTATAGAAATCCTAGAAGAAAACCTAAGAAATACCCTTCTTGAAATTGGCCCTGGCAAGAAATTTTTGGCTAAGTCCTCAAAAGCAATTGTAACAAAAAACAAAAATTGACAGATGGGATCTAATTAAACTAAAGAGCTTCTGCACAATAAAAGAAATAATCAGCAGAGTAAAGAGACAACCTACAGAATGAGAGAAAATATTCACTAACTATGCATCTGGCAAAGGTCTAATATCCAGAATCTACAAGGAACTTAAATCAACAAGCAAAACCCAAATAATCCCATTAAAAATTGGGCAAAGGACATGAACAGACACTTTTCAAAGAAAGACACAGAAGCAGCCAACAAACATATAAAAAAATGCTCATGATCACTAATCATCAGAGAAATACAAATCAAAACATAATGAGATACCAGTCAGAATGGCTATTATTAAAAAGTCAAAAAACAAAGATGCTAGTGAGAGTGTGAAGAAAAGGGAACATTAATACATTGTTGGGAATGTAAAATAGTTCGGCCACTGTGGAAAGCAGTTTGGAGATTTCTCAAAGAACTTACCACAGAGTGCCATTGGACCCAGCAATCCTATTGCTGGGTATATTCCCAAAGGAAGGTAGATCATTAGAGCAAAAAATACATGCATTTATATGTTCATCACCACGCTATTCACAATAGCAAAAAGGCAACCTAGGTGCCTGTTAATGGTGGATTGGATAAGGAAAATGTGATCTATGCAGCCATAAAAAAGAATAAAATCATGTCTTTTGCAGAAACATGGATAGAGATGGAGGCTATAATCCTAAACAAATTAACACATAAACAAAAAACCAAAATAGCTCATGTTCTCACTTACAAATGGGAGCTAAACATGGAGCATGCATGGACATAAACATGGGAATAATGGACACTGTGAACTGCTGAGGGGGAGGGAGGGAGGGTGCATGGGTTGAAAAACTACCTGAGTACTGTGCTCACTACATAGTACAACACACCTATGTAACAAACCTGCACACATGTCTCCTGTAACTAAAATAAAATTTGAAATTAAAATAAATAAATAAAAATAAACTATATGAGAGGATTGCATAGGTAATATGCAAATACTATGCCATTTTATATAAGAAATGTGAGCATCCATGGATTTTTGGATGGGGGAGTGGGAGGGATGCAGTGGAGAGTCTCACAACCAATACCTCATGGATACTGAGAGATGACTGTATTTTTAGTGATTCTAATGCAAACATATTTTGAAGTCTTCTTTCAGCCCAACCTCTCCCCTTGGTCTCCATGACATTATCTTTTTCTAGATCTTTCTATTCCCTAAATATATTTTGCAGTTCCTATTTATCGGCCGAATCCTGAGGTGGTGATAAGTCACCACTCCTCAATTCTCATTTTACATATTCTCCCTAGGTAATTCATTTTACACATTTTCCCTGGATGAATCTCAAATCCATATCTTGAGTGAAGACCCCTACCCTGAGCTACAGATTATTATTTTCAATTGCCAAAAGGGTATCTTTACTTTTGTTCTTGTATTGGTCCTTCCACCTCAAAATACCCAGAATAAAAAAATCATAATCTCCATCTGTTCCTCTCCCTTCCTTTCCTAAGCAGAAAAAGAACCATTCTATCTCTTTTCTTGCTCGATAAATTCAATTGGTGATCAAGTTCCTATGGATTCCATATTTGAATCAATATTTTAGTATGTATCTTCCTTCTGTCCCCACTGCACCATCCATGTAACAGACTTTTCATTGCTGCAGTCTAGCTCAGCTTGTTGGCCTAAGCTAGTTCTCTCTCTTGCAGTGCATCCATTATGAGGTGTCTTTAGAAATAAAGATACAAACATTCGTTCAACTGCTTATAGTTGTATGTAGTTCACAGAATAATGTTTAGTTTCCACTACGAGACACAGAAAGTCTTTCAAAACTTGCCTGCTGCCTCTTTCATTACCCCAAACTTAGTTGCTTCTTTGGTGTGCTGTACTACTTGCTACTTCCAAACATACCAAACACTTTCACGTTCCCGTGCCTTTGGCCCCAAATCCTTTTTATTCCCTTTTTCTCAGGGCATCAATAGACTGGGATTCCAATCCCAGCTTTGCTTTTCATGAATTGTGTATTTTGAAAAAGATAATTAACATCTCAGTCCATTTCCTACGTTGCCTGTAAAATTGCTTTCTCCCAGTCATAATGAGCATTCAATGGAGAATACACTGAGTTTAGCATTGCTCCTGAAAATAACTGCTTGCCTTGAATATTTATTTATTTTGTAAATGTACATGCATATACTTTTAAGATTCATTCACATCATAAAATAAGCCCTGCAATCATTCACATCGGCTAGAATCATGTTCTACCATGTACTAGCTTCGGATTCTTGGCCAAACCACTTTACCTCTCTGAGTTCCCATTTCTTTATTTTATAAATCATGTCTATTACAAGAATTCAATTAGATAATAAATGTGAAGCAGGAGTTCCATAAATGGAAACTATTGTGATTATTAATGTGCCTTCTGCCATATATCTTACTAGGACTTGATTTTCTTTTTCTTTTTTTGAGACAAAGTCTCACTCTTGTTGCCCAGGCTGGAGTGCAGTGGTGCGATCTCAGCTCACTGCAATCTCCACCTTCCGGGTTCAAGCGATTCTCCTGCCTCAGCCTCCCGAGTAGCTGGGATTACAGGAGCCCGCCACCATGCCTGGCTAATTTTTGAACTTTTAGTTGAGACGGGGTTTTGCCATGTTGACCAGGCTGGTCTCAAACGCCTGACCTCAGGTGATCTGCCCGCCTCAGCCTCCCAAAGTGCTAGGATTACAGGCATGAGCCACTGCACCTGGCCAGGACTCGATTTTCAAACTCCTTGAGAACAAGGGCTCTTGCATTTGTCTTTGTGTCCCCAGCTTCATGCTTGATAAATAGCTTTTTGTATATTCATAAACATCAAACAGAAATTAATGCCTATTTTATAATTTGTCATCGAATTTCCACTGAATTTTCTTCTATGTGGCTTAATATGAAAACTAAAAATTATTTAATACATTCATATTTAGTAGAATCATGACTGATACTATCTCCCTTTTTCCATTTTATGTTTTAATTTATTATTATTTTAAAAAATGCATCACTAATTAAAGGTTAAATTGCCCAAGTCTTGGAAATTGAAGAATATAATAGGAAATCTTTTCTTTTTCAATTTTTAATTTTTGTGGGTACATAGTAGGTGTATACATTTATGGGTTACATGAGATATTTTGATACAGGCATGCAATGTGTATCAATTACATCAGGGTAAATGGAGTATCCATCACCTCAAGCATTTATCCTTTGTGTTACAAACAATCCAAATCTTTTAGTTATTTTTAATTATAATCTTTTTGTTATTTTTAAACGTATAATTAAATTTTTGACTATAGTTACCCTTTTGTACCAGCAAATACTGGGTCTTATTCATTCATTCCAACTATATTTTGTAATCTTTAACCATTCCCACTTGCCCTCAATCCTCCCTGACCCTTCCCAGCCTCTGGTAACCATCCTTCTACTCCCTATCTGCTTGAGTTCATTTGTTGTAATTTTTAGCTCCCACAAATAAGTGAGAACATGTGATGTTTGTATTTCACTTAACATAATGACTTCCAGTTCCATCCATGTTGTTGCAAATGACCGGATCTCATTCTTCTTTTTTTCTTTTAATGGCTAAATAATACTCCATTGTGTATATGTATCCCATTTTCTTTATCCATTCACCTGTTAATGGACACTTAGGTTGCTTCCAAACCTCGGCTATTGTGAATATTACTGCAATAAATTGTCGATATAGTGATTTCTTTTTAGTGGGTATACATCTAGGAGCAGGAATGCTAGATTGTATGGTAGCTCTATTTTTTTGAGGAAATGTTTTATATTTTAAAACAAAGGGCTGGAATTGGGATACTTTCCTCGATCAGACAAAATAGCAATACTTCAAAAGTAAAAAGTTGGAAGCTAAATGAGACTGTTTCCAGAACATTCACTAAAGGTGTAGCAGACTAGGGAAAATCCTCCTTTATTTCTTATTGCCTTAAATATCAAGAAAAGCACTAAAGGATAGAAGCCATGCCACAGCAGGTGTTGTGCGGGGTGGGGGGCGGGGTGTGGGGAGAGCCCAGGGAGGAAGGAGGTTTAAAATAATTCCTTGCCTTGGTGATGCTGGAGAGAGAGAGAGAGAGAGAGAGTGTGTGTGTGTGTGTGTTGTTACCTGTGTGTATCTCTCTGTGGCAGTGTGTAGGGGGTTCAACTTTTCTCAGTTCCTGCTTCTTCAAGCCTAGAGTTAAATTCTTCATGGCAATGGGAGAGAGTCATTTTTAATATTGGGACCAATTTAATATTGTGAACATAGAAACCATGACGCAAATAGGAAAAAGTTGAAAGAAATTAGATTTAATTGTTAATTAGGTTCCATTGAGTAAGAAGAACACTGTAACAGAAAGTCCTTAAAATCAGAAAATGCTTAGTTCTTAGAACATGGCAGACCTTTAATAATTCCTGAATTTGTAATCACTCAATTAGATTGAGATTTATCTGCAGTCATCCGTGGAAGAGGAGAAAAGTTTCATGCTTAAACAATTACTATAGAAACAATGTAGCAGGGAATAGGTTTTAATATATCTAAACAATAAGTACCAATAGCTATTATGCTAAAATATTATTTTAAAATTTATAATAGTTAATACAGGATAAAGTCTTAAACTTTTAAAATACTTTTGAAGTATATTAAACAAAAAACTAAACATTTAAATTTTTAGCATTGGGAGGTTTTCCAGAGGGTAATTAATCCAATATAGCCAGTAAGATATTCCAGTTTAATCAGCTCTCATTGCTCAACCACATGCACATATTATAATTTTTTCATAAAACATAAAAGTAGTCTGGTGTAGAAGCATACTGACACTCACTGTCTTTGGTATACTGTACCTGTGTTTTCCTTAAACAGGATGTCTGCTCTGCAGCTCTACAGTGGAAAGACTGTGACTTAGAAGCAGAATACTTAAGTGCAAGTTCACTTTTGAACCTCAAATTATCCTATGACCCTGAGCAAGCCACTGTATTTCTGTTGCCTTATCAGCAAATAAGAAAATGCCCACCTTAACATCCTCAGGAGGTGCTTGCGAGGATTAAATAGAATACAGTATGAGCAAGGCCTTTTGGAAAAACCGAAAAACACAACATCTATCTAAAGCATACTAAAATGTTCAGTAAAAGAGCTAAGCCTCTCTTGGACCACAGGCTGCCTGACTGCTTCTCCAGAGACAAATAAGGTGAACGGTTTCTTATATTTTCTTCCAGAAGCATTCTCAATATGCGGGTGTGCTTTTACTCAAACAGGCATGCTGGATAAGCATGGTAGTGGGTCTCGTTACTGCCTTCACTTAGTCACATATCCTAGAGCTCCATCCTCATCGGCACATAGAGTTATGCCTCTTTCTTTTGTAAAATCAGCTTCATGGTATTTCATAGTATTCTATTCCAGGGTTTTGCTAATTCTTTAAGCAGTCCCCACTCATGGATATTTTAGAATTCTTAACAGTGTTTTGCTGGCTGGGCGCAGTGGCTCAAGCCTGTAATCCCAGCACTTTGGGAGGCCAAGGCAGGTGGATCACTAGAGGTCAGGAGATTGAGACCAGCCTGGCCAATATGGTGGAACCCCATCTCTACTAAAAATACAAAAATTAACCACGCATGGTGGCAGGTGGCTGTAAACCCAGCCACTTGGAAGGCTGAGGCAGGAGAATTGCTTGAATCCAGGAGACAGAAGCTGCAGTGAACTGAGATTGTGCCACTACACTCCAGTCTGGGCGACAGAATAAGACTCTGTCTCAGAAAAGGAAAAAAAAAAGGCTTTTGCTTCCACAAATTGTGATCCCATCACTATCTCTCTGTATAAGTCTAGTCTTTGGTAGCACTGATTTTTTTAAACACCAAGAAAACTTAAACACTATTATTATTTCCTTTGTTGAATTCTGTATAAGGCTGGCATATCTTAGACTCTAGGCACAAAGTTTTAATGTTAAATGTATGCGTTTAATAAGATCATTTCTATTAGAACACAGAACTGCAACAGGACCTTCAAGACAGCGTTGTACTTTCATATGCAAGAATAAAGAATCAAAAAGCAAGGTATCCCTCAGTCGTCACGTTTTAAAAAAACAATAACAACAAACACCTGCAGAGGGCTCTCTAGTTCATTAGACATCTCACAAACATTATCTTTTTAGTGTCCCCCATTTAGTGCTTAATAGCATCACAAATTCATAAAATCTTAGAACTAGAAGGGACCTTAAAGTTTTGCTATTTTAATCACTTTTTTCCAAATACAAATAATGGCTGAGACTATTTTCAATATCAAAAAGAGTAGATCAAAGAGAATATCAACAAGTTGGATCAAAGGGATAACACATTTTACAATAAGCTTACGTAACAGGAAGTTATGAACAAAACAGCAATGTTGTCAGTAAGCAGGCAGAATAAATGGAGCCAATGGATCTGAACCCTGGACCAACCTGTAGGAGCTGGTGAGCTCGTAATCTAGAATCGCTTTTGTTGTTATCACACCACTCAGTGCATCAATCTGGAATGCTTCTTCTTGGTTGCCAGACAGAATAGAATACTCAATCAGGCCGTTCAAACCACTGTCCAAGTCGGTAGCAAAAACCTGTGAGGAACCGACTGTTTCATTAGATAAGATTTATTCTGCAATATGGGTTCAGTCTGTTTTTCAGAGACATGCATTAAGAAAGAATCACAGCTTGTCAAACATATTTTAAAAACAACGATGAAATGAAATACCAACAGACAACTGAAGCTTACATTTAACTTTATGATAAACTGAGTGATGGGGGAAATTCTTCATCCAAAGAATTTTCAAATAGCTCTCAGTAGACATGGTACATGTTTTTGAGGTATAATTTTGTGCAATGAGAAGAAATATTTTTAAAAACATCTAAGTTGCTTGAATAGGAGAGTTCCAATAGTGTATATGAATTCATGCTAGCACAAGTAAAGGGAAAAAATGTTATGGGAAATCTCCACATAGTGATAATTTTTTTTTCATTTGCTCTGTTTTTCTGCTTAAAGAATTACCTATAAAATTGGCTAGGTGTGAATTTTTTTATATTGTATTTAAAGTTTTATTTTATTTTATTTTTGAGATAGAGTCTGGCACTGTCACCCAGGGTGGAGTGCAGTGATGTGATTCATGGTTCACTGCAGCCTCAGCCTGCTGGGCTTAAGTGATCCTCCCACTTTAGCCTCCCAAGTAGCATGCGCCACCATGCCCAGCTAATTTTTGTATTTTTTTGTAGAGATGGGGTTTTCCCATTTTGCCCAGGCTGGTCTTGAACTCCTGGGCTCAAGCGATCCACCTGCATCAGCCTCCCAAAGTGCTGGGATAACAGGTGTGAGCCACTGTGGCTGGCCCTAAAGTTTCATTTTAAAGGGATCATTAAACAAGTGAAACAAAACCTAGATTTAGTGCTAAGAAGTGTAGATCCTAATCATGTATTTGATGAGTTATCAAAGTTGTGTTGAGGATAAAACAGAAGTTTTACATCATTCTCCATCATTTTGCAATAAACTTTAATCACTAAACCAATTATGTTAGTGGATTTGGTATCTTGATTAAGAACAAGTTGACAAATTAATTAATTACTTTTTACTTGTTTATATCTTCTATGCCCCTGAGCCTTAGTCTTAGCTCCTGTCCCCTGTCATCTCTCTCCTGGGCTACTATACTGATGAATGTCCTAGTGGGTTTTCATTCTAATTTCCTACCATCTCAATTTATCCTTCACTTTGCTGCCAGAGTTCTCAGGGGACCCTGAGTGACCCAGGTGCAGTATCCAGGAGCTCATCAGACAGGGGACAGCTCTTGGGACCGAAAGGCTGCAATATGCAGTTTCCTTTGGGATCACCAAGAAAAGAAACCAGTCTGCATCAAAGTCCACTATATCCCTTGGAGCCATACATTTAAAAGTGCTACAGAAGCACTTTGGGAGGCCAAGGCGGGTGGATTACGAGGTTAAGAGATCAAGACCATCCTGGCCAACATGGTGAAACCCCATCTCCACTAAAAATACAAAAATTAGCTGGGCGTGGTGGCATACGCCCATAGTCCCAGCTACTCAGGAGGCTGAGGCAGGAGAATTGCTTGTACCTGGGAGGCGGAGGTTGCAGTGAGCCGAGATCACGCCCCCACACTCCAGCCTGGCGACAGAGCGAGACTTCGTCTCAAAAAAAAAAGTGCTACAGAGAGTATCTCTGGGTGGTCTATCAGCTATGGTTCTAGGGTACCGGCACATCTTAACTAGTGCTAACCCAACCGGGGAGAGATGTATCAGAAAGACAGTGCCCAGTGAATACAAGAGCCTGAGTGGCTCTAGGGAATGTAAAGCACAGCTTCTTTGAGTTGTTGTCATCAAGATGAATTGGCTGTAATTTGTCTCTGTCTTGGTGTCCCTTCACCGAAGATTCAAATTTCAGGGAGAGAAAGTCTGTGTGACTGAGAGAAGCAAGGCAGTTCACCACACCTTTGGCGGGATGGGAGTGGGAGGCAGGTCAATATCTTGATGACAACACCCCCAGGACTGCATCAACAGAGGGTCAGACCCTCAAAGGAGTTTGTGGGGCTGTAACCAAAGGAGGGCATTGAGCAATGTGGGGTCAAAAACCAGGAAGCAACCACCACAATTGGTATGAGCTCCAGAGCCTCCTTCATTTCTAATTTTCTGAACAGGACACAGCAGAATGGTAGTGCTAGCTTCCTGGGAACTCAATGATTGGAAAATGGAAAGAACAAAGTTCATTCTATCTGTCCCTGACTCAGCCTTCTACAAGTCTGCCATAATTTGAAGGGCTGGTGGGTCAGGCTCTCTCTCATTCAGTGCACCTGGGCTTTATATGGGTCTTTGCCTTCACTTATTTCACACTGAGCAATTTAGCTCCATCCCAGTTAGCATTTGGGACAGAGAAGTGAAACGATGCAGGGCCCCAGTGTGGGGATCCTCTTGTGACAAGGTGGCAATGGAGGCATCTGCCATCCCCACTGATCAGCCTCACTGGGCAGGGATGATAAAGACTGGAAAAGTGAATGTTCTTTCTTCTGAAACATCTCAGTCATGGCTGAAACCAGGGTAAAGACACAGCACATCTGGAACAGGCTGGTGACTAGAGCAATCAGGCTGCTATAAAACAAAATACACCTGCAGTCATAGCCTAGGGGATCCCAGATATCCTGGACGGGGTGTAGGGGCACAGAGCTAAAACTCCAAGGCAGCTGAGACTCTATTGGTCTTGTTTTCACCAACAGCATGGATATGTGCTTCAGAAACTGGAATTGCAGTAAAAGAAAGGCTTTTTTTTTTTTTTTTTTTTTTTTTGTGAGATTGAGTTTTGCTCTTATTGCCCAGGCTGGAGTGCAATGGCATGATCTCAGCTCACTGTAACCTCTGCCTTCCAGGTTCAAGCAATTCTCCTGCCTCAGCCTCCCAAGTAGCTGGGACTACAGGTGCCCACCACCACACCAGGCTAGTTTTATATTTTTAGTAGAGATGGGGTTTCACCATGTTGGTCAGACTAGTCTCGAACTCCTGACCTCAGGTGATCCACCTGCCTTGGCCTCCCAAAGTGCTGGGATTACAGTTGTGAGCCACTGTGGGGTCTTTTTATATAATGAGGTGAAGGTGTCTGCACAGTAAAGAACTGTTGCAGGTTTTGTCCAGAAAATATGCTAGCATGCCATGTAAACGCCTTACCCCACCTAGCCCAGAGAAAAAGGGGTGTAATAAGCATGAAGTGCTGACCACAGCCATGACATTCCAGGGGCCAAAAGGAATGACCCTCCCTGTGGCTAACTTTGCCTGGAAGTTGGATTTATACTGATTTCCTTTCCAAAGTCACGGGAGGTTAGAGATCTCCTAATGCCCAGCTTCCTGACTACAAAAACTCAATTCAATAGTGGAGGGAAAGATGAAACAAGCACTTGTCCTGAGGCAGGTGGAGAAAGTATCAAGGATGGGTGGGTTTTACAGCATGAACAAAACTTCCCTGTGAATGGATGCTTCTCCAGGACTTGGGGCCTTTTACTGAGATGGGGCTAGTCCTGAAAGCAGATCCGTCCACATGCCTGTTCACCTTGAAGACTTAGTGTAAATATCCTTATTCTATGAAGTCTTACACTCCTCCTTCAGGAGGAGGCTGTGTCTCCTCTTTTCACTCATTACACTAAATGCATACTTCTATTGTATTAATAAATGCATACTTCTAGTGCTCAACAGTACTCCTAGAGAAAGCAGATGTCAGTAATTGAGCACTGAATAAATAAAGAGGAAGAGACAGTGCAAGAATTTCAGATTTTCTTTAACCTAAGGTTTCATCCCATCTATAAAATGTACATGGCCTGGAAAGAGTGTTGTACTACAGGGATTAGAAATTTTTATGTACATTGACTTGTAATAATTCTCTCTCTCTCTCTCACACAGACACACCCACACACACACACACACACACACACACAAATATATTTCTGTTACCTGTATGACATGAGCATTGTAGAGTTGGCTTTCAGACACTGATGCCTGGTAAATGCTTTGTTCAAAGCATGGTGAATTATCATTCTCATCCTGTATCAAGACTGCTACTTTGCAATAGGCTCTATGCCCACTACTTTCAGCTAAAACGATGAGTTGAACCTCATTTCTGACTTCAAAATCAAGAAACTTGGGTTCTTTCACAGTGAGTTGTCCTATTTTTATTTCCAAGGAGAAAAAAAAGAAAATGATGTTGTAGTTATTCTTTTATTTTTTATTTTATTTATTTATTTAGTTTTGAGACAGAGTCTCGCACTGTCGCCCAGGCTGGAGTGCAGTGGTGAAATCTCGGCTCACTGCAACCTACGCCTCCCGGGTTCAAGCGATTCTCCTGCCTCAGCCTCCTGAGTAGTTGGAGTTACAGGAACCCGCCACCATGCCCAGCCAATTTTTTGTATTTTTAGTAGAGACGGGTTTTCACCATGTTGGCCAGTCTGGTCTCGAACTCCTGACCTCGTGATTCACCTGCCTTGGCCTCTGAAAGTGCTCGGATTATAGGCGTGAGCCACAGCACCTGGCCATAGTTATTCTTAAAATGACTCAAAGCATCTTTGCCTCATGTGCTCACAGCTCACCTGTCCCGCAAAAGCCTCCCATTGCCGGGCCTCCTTTCCCCACCGACCCGGGTCATTGTGAAAAGATTTGGGATCTTGCAGATGTTTGCAGGTTCAAATATGTAGAGAGAAAGAAACTATGAAATACCAAGACCTGGGAGCTATCTCTCTCCATATTTACCCCCTGGCCATGTCTGGAAAGTCTATCTTTCAAATTTAGCTTCACTCCAGCCCCATTACTGCTGCCTTCCTTCAAGCCACCAGCACTTCCCACCTTGTCCCCTGCATTAGCCACAAAATTGGTCTCTCCCTAATCCAGTTTTCATTCTGAATTTAATAAAAAAAAAGATGCTGTCATTGTTCTGCATGAAACCCTTCCATGATCATAATATGCATCTGCTTCTTGAATGCTTATTAAAGAGTCATCACGCATGCGGTTCCATCAGCCTGGAATGGCTCACACAGCGATTCTTCCTCAGGGATTTTTCCAGATCACCATCCCTGTACCATCACCTCCCCAAAGTCTCTTACAAAGCCTCTGCATTTCCCAGCAGCTGCATCATCGCTTTGTTCACCTTCATCTGTTTTTTGTCCTATTATTCCTCTTGTTTATAAGCTCCATACACCATCTCTTACGTACCATCATATCTCCAGTGTCTGGCTCAGGGTCTGGCCTCCAGAAGGCACACAGTAATACTTTTATGCCCTCATATAAAAGGCAGATCCAGGTTAGGGAAGCAGATTTTTGAGGGTGATGCCATACTCTAGTTTCCCCCACCCCCAGCAAATTAAGAAACTTACTCCTTTAACATAATTTCCTTGTCTAGATTTTACTGTTTTTTCCTCCACTTTACAATAAAATTTCCGACTCAATGTATTATTTTTATTTACTTGGCTTTCACTGTCAGCAAGTCCATCAAATAGAGAGTTTCTGAATGAACACTAATTTGGAGTTAGAGAAACCTGAAACCAGGCATAAATCCGAGGCCTAGAAATTTAATTTAGGTCAATTACCTGGCTCCACCACCTCCTAACTTTGTGACCTGGATAAGTTATGCGGTTGACATAAAGCTGAGTCTCCTTTTCTATATAAAATGGGATGTTAACAATGACTTCAAAGAGTGGCTGTGAGGAGCAAGTGACATAACGCATATTTGGAATGTCTCTTTGTAGTAACATGTAGATTCCACGATGTGTTACTCGTGTTTGTCTGCCCCTCATCATCACATATGGATTTAATATCTCTGTGAACTCTGAATTTAGAAAGAGAACATTTAATAGCCATCAACTACTAGAAGTTCGATCCTCTGGTGAAAGAATCTGTACTGGAACTATGTTCCGTAACTATGGCCTGGGAGCTGCAGTTTTTATTGCTCTATCTGAATCAGCTTCCCCAGATAACCTAGTCCAAGAAGCTTTAGGTCATCTGGCACCTACTTGAATTCTAGTGGGAGGCATATCCTGTTCAAATATTCTGTCTTTGTTATTGGGTGTTTTGGGGGAGATTTTGTAGCTTATATTCTGTTAGGAAAAAAAAACAATATATATTAACTCACTATACTACCAAATTTAAAATTTCATAAACTCAGTATCATTTTTTGATATCAAATTTAGTTATCAATTTAGTACTAGAACCAAATTACTTCACAAACCATAGTCTGTTGTGACCAACACCCCTGGCAGAAAATTTAGAGTAGCTCTAACTTTGGGCAGCTGGAGAATAATTAAGATGCTTTTTGATATGCTGGTGATGAAACTAGGTGGTCTTCAGAAACCTCCCTGAAACAAAGGCTGATTCCCACACCCCGAAATGTCACCAGAGCCCGAGTCTGAGGTGGGTCCACAGCTCTCACCCAGATCTCTTGTCTCCACCAAAAAGAGCACTTGCCTGGCTATCATGTTCTGTTACTGTTTGTAAAGGAAAAATAGAATAGAAATGCAACACTAAATTGCCCGTGTCACTGAGTAGAAAGTGTGCCAATTATAGTGCAGATCAAAGTTGATTTTTAATAAAAGGCTTGTGTTTAGGCTTTGATAATTGGAATTTTGCACTTGGAATGGATCGACGGTTCTAATGCTTTCCTTGCATGGTTTTTATTTTTGGGGTAATAACTGGCATATGCTGTGAAAGTCGTGCAAGTAGAAAAGACAATAACCAGTCTGTGGGATGATTCAAGGCTGCTAGATCCACATTTTTCCTTGGATAATACATGGGTAGTTTTCACAAAGACATCAAGCGTGTACTGTCATCAGTGAGAGGAAAGTACTACTGGACTCTGTCTAATGGTATACGCAGAAACTAACACCTTCCTTAGAGTAAGAAGCCTCACAAATACTAACTTCATGTTCTTGCTTATATGTTAATGTGCCAGTTATGGAATAACTTGAGAAAAAAATGGTAGTAACATTTTCTTCTAAAAAATACATACATTATGTAGCTTTTGACAAAGTTATGAAATACACATCCAAATGAGATTAAGATTCATCAAATGCTACATGCTTGATAACATAATCAGGTTACTTCCATCAATTATATACTGTGTACATGCATTTGTACAAACCAAAGCAGAATGTGATAAATATTTATGTTATTCAGTAGCTTTCAAACCGTCTCCTACTTAAACAATGTCTTTGAAACATTGAAAGTTTGATCAGTTTTGTTTTGCGCCACTCTAATAAATACTAAAATGAATGCTGCCATCTGTTATTTACATACAAAACCTTAGTCAAGCTCTAAAATTGCTGCTGATTTAGACAGTGAGAAATACATGTTTTTACACTAAAGTGGCATGAAGTTTAAATACAGAGTCAACTTGGTTTGTGACGATGGAACAGAGGGTAAACTGGCACAAATTGACAGAAAACAGAGTTCTCATCAGAGATCTGTCTAATGACAACTTATTAAACTAATTACTAATAAAATGGTTTTCTCACACTTTTATTCTTAAGTTACTATAATCTTAGAGATAAATATTATTGATTTATTATACATATCAGTCTCACATTTTAAGTGGTGTATGTTTAAAATACATACATTCAGAAAACCTATACAATTAGATACAATTTTAATGATAATTTGTCAAAGGTAGCATAAAAGATGCATTTAATATCATAATTAAAGTTTTAAAAAAGCTTTCTTGACAGCAATATGTTAAACTATATACTTGACCAATCTTCATGATAAAAACAACTAAAATGCATGATAAATTATATATATAATACATATATATGCATAGACATATATGTGTATGTATTACAATGCATTATTGAGTTGGTACAGTTGTAAGAATTCTACAGAGGACAAAACAGAAATGAAGACAGAAATCCTGAGAGGTTAGTAAGTACTAACAGCTCATTTTTGTTCCAAAGATTTCTACCACAACCTTTTATCTTACTATTCATTTCTGATAGTTGCATGGAGTGTGGAAAATAAGGTGAGAACCCACAAAAGGTGAAGGGGCTAATAGGAAAAACTAGCATAAAGCTGGAAACCTAAAGGCTGCATATATTCCAAATCAGTGGCCATTATTGAAAAAAAAAAAAAAAAGAAAACTGAAACTGAAGCAGAATTAGCAATGTGGACATAACTGAAATTTGCTGAAGTGTTTCAAATTGTGTAGATATTAAAGAACAAACTCATGAATACAATCCACAGATGGAATGCAGCATCAAAGTCACCCATATGATCACAGAAGGATTACAATCTGCAGCAACGGTGATGAGTTAGAAAGAAAGAGACTACAACTTCTAATTACAATGTTCTTCCAAAAGGTTTTGGCCAAAAAACCACCAGAAGCTTGACTTTTTTTTTTAACCTTGGTGTTGATTGAAAGGGAGAAAAAAAATCTTCCGTATTAGTTTAAGCCTGAATTTATGGTAGCTATACTATCATAGTTATACATATTTAAAACTCTTAGGAATTAAACTTAAACTGGCTTCTCCCTGATGATTCTCCAGGTGAATTGCAGAAAAGGAAGCAAATCCTCTTTTAAGGGCATAAATTCAACTGAGGCTTCAGAGAATCGTCAAAGAGCTTTCAAGGATAATGAGTAGCTCATAGTCTACAAGCACTAAAGTCATAGAGAAGCAAGGCACCATAAATGACAGCAAGCAAACCCATAGACAACAGAACCAAACATCAAAGGCTTCAGATGCAGGAATTGTTGGACACAGAATTATTATATATGTTTAAATACATTAAAAACCCTTGGAAATATGAGCAAGGAACAAGAGGCTATTTTTCAAAAGACAAAGAGTTGAAAAAAATTCAACAGAACTACTGGAAATGAAAAATACAGTTCCTCAGAATGAAGAGAAAGACAGATGAAAAATATAAAAAAGAGATGTAGCAGAGAGTCACATAGCCCAACATTTGTCTAATTGGAGTTCCAAGAAAAGATACAAATGAATGGCGTTTAGATCAACAGCTAGCTTCTTAATGCGACAATGGGATGCCAGAAGCCAGTAGAATAATATCTTAATATGATGAGATAAAATAACTGTGAATCTAGAATTACAAGACCAGCAAAAGTATTTTAAAAGCATGGATTAAATAAGTACATTTTTAACTACCTAAATCTGAGAGAGCTTACTATACAAACCCTCACTAAAGGAGATAGTTCAAGCAGAAAAAAATAATACTAGAAGAAAGGCTGAGATGTAAGAAAGAATGGTTAGCAGAGACATCAACAAGGATGCAGCTAAATCAACTGAAAAATACTAATAATGCCTAATTTGAAAGAACCAAAATTGTGGTCACAAAAGCATGTAAATTGATATAGGAGCACTTCGAGATCAGTAATTGCAAATCTCTTGTATTACTCAGGAAGAGAATATTGATTAATGTTGGACTTTATATATGTTAAAGTAACGAGGCTAGCCACCGAAATAAGAAAAATAACTATATAACTTCAGACAGGGGAAAGTGGTCATTTTCAGATATGATTTTATGTGTCAAATATACAGAAAAATGTCAGTCTCTAGTTTGCAAATTTGCCAGACAAAAAATCAAAAGACAAAAATCAGTTTCAAATACATACACCAGCACCGTCAGGAAAAGCATTTTTTTTCATTTACCGTAGTGAGAAAAAGCATAATGTACTTAGGAGAAATCTAACAAGAGACATACAAGCCTGTACATTTCATTCTTTGCTATTTCTCTTTAACATGTAATGGTTTATGCACTGTAAGTCATAGTAAAAATGTTGAGCAAAGGAATAAAGTCATAGAAGAGTACGTAGCATGATTCTATTATCATACTTAAGTCAAGGTAAAAGTAAATGACATATTGTTTAGAAATTCAAATGCAGTGGAAAAATTATAACCAAAAATGTCAGCGATCAGTTGGGTGCAGTGGCTCATGCCTATAATCCCAGAACTTCAGGAGGCCAAGGCAAGGAGATTGCTCGAGTTCAGGAGTTTGAGGCCAGCCTGGGCAACAAAGTGAGAACCTGTCTTTCTTTACGAGAAAAAAAGAAGCCAGTGATCAATACAAATTCAAGTTACTAATTATCTCTGGGACAAAAAAGAGAGACATAAAGTGATGTGTATGTTAATTGGCTCAATTTAGATATTCTGCAATGTACACATATTTCTGAACAACAAAAAAAAAAGAGAAAGGAAAAAAGAGATATAAAAAGGAAGGGGCACACAGAGGCTTTCAAAAATTCGAAAATTCTAGTACAGTAGTTCCCCCTTCCCTGTGGGGGATATATTCTGAGACCCCCCAGTGAATGTTTGAAACTGTGGATGGTACCAAACCCTATATATACTATGCTTTTTTCTATATATGCATACCTATGATGGAGTTTAATTTCTAAATTAGGCACAGTAAGAAATTAACAACGACTAATAAAATTGAACAATTATACTGTAGTAAAAGTTACGTGAATGTGGTCTCTCTTGCAAAATATCGTATTGTACTGTATTCATCCTTCTTCTTGTGATGATGTGAGATGACAAAATGCCCACATGATAAGGTAAAGTGAGGTAAATGACATGGGCACTGTGACATAGCAGTAGGCTACTACTGAATGTCTGATGGTATGTCAGGAGAAGGATCATCATCTGCTTCAAGTGGTCCTGGATCAACGAGCCACGATGATGTCGATGGTTGGATGTCAAGAGCAGATGATGTTGATGGTTGGGAGTACTTGAGAGTTGCAGGGGTTTTTTTTTTGTTGTTTGTTTGTTTGTTTGTTTTTCCAAAACCTTTTGGAAATCATTGTAATAAAAGCTTCGCCTGTAATCCCAGAACTTTGGGAGGGTGAAGCGGGTGGATCACGAGGACAGGAGATCGAGACCATCCTGGCTAACACAGTGAAACCCCGTCTCTAAAAAAATTACAAAAAATTACCTGGGTGTGGTGGCGCATGCCTGTAGTCCTAGCTACTTGGGAGGCTGATGCAGGAGAATCGCTTGAACCCAGGAGGTGGAGGTGGCAGAGAACCGAGATCATGCCACTGCACTTCAGCCTGGGCAACAGAGCAAGGCTCCGTCTCAAAAAAAAAAAAAAAAGAAAGCTTGTCAGTTTTTAATCAAAGTGTTGGTACAGAGGTTATAATCCTGTGATCATATGGGTGACTTCAATGCTGCACTTTATCTGAGGATTGTATTCTATAATTTTGTCTTTTCATATCTGTGTGATTGGAAACACTTGAGCAAATTTCAGTAATGTCTACATTGTTCGTTCTGCTTTAGTTTCTTCTTTGTCTTCCCTTTCTCTGTAGATGACTCAAAAATTTCTTCCTCATTTATTAACAATTCTCATTGGCCTTCAATATGTTCTTCTACTTCTTCATCAAGCATGTCGGCAAACCCTTCTCCACCAACTTGTCTTGCTGTGTGAATTATTTTCCTAACTTTTCCGTCAATCCCCAGGAAGCCATTAAAATCATTCATGACTTCACTCTAGAAGTTCTTCCAGCAGGCATTTACAGTTTCTGGTTTTAATTCATGCATGGCAGCTTTGATGAATGTTACTGCGACAGCAACAGTGAATGATTTCCAGCATTACATTACATCCAGATTATGATCTGCATCAATCAATTAGTGGCTGATCAAATACCAGGCAGGTGTGTGACCTTGATAACTCAAATACCAGGCAGGTGTGTGACCTTGATAAACCAAATGATGCCTGCTCAAGGGGCTGAAGCAATGAGGTTTTATTTGGAGGTAAAAATACAACCTCAACATTTTCATTTTCATAGCAAGATGGCCAGGTGCATTGTCTAATATTAACAGAACTTTGAATTCCAACCTTTCCTCATCCAAGTATTTTTTTTTTTAACTTCTGGAATGAAGCACTGGTGGAACCATTCCATAAACAAGATGTGTGTCACCCATGCTTTATTATTATGTTGCCAGAACATAGGCAGATAATTTTTTGTTTCAGAGAGCATGTGGGTTCTTCACTTTGTATACTACACTTGATTTTATCATATGTCCTGCAGTGTTGCCACATAGTACCAGAGTTCATCTGTCCCTCCATGTTTTATGCCCTGGTGCTTCCTTTGTACATCTATGAATGTAGGTTCCATTGGGCATCTTCTTCCCGAAGCCTAGCTTTACGGCAATTAGAGATTTGCTTTAGATGGTTTCCTTTCTCCTTATTCAACATCTTCAGAAATGCGGCAGCACCTTCTTTGTTGGCAGATGCAGCCTCTCCAGTAGTTTTTGTATTTTTCAGTCCAAACCTATTTCCAAATCTGTGTAACCATCTCTTACTTGCAGTAAATGGCTTAGGGTCACTCGTTTCAGGGGATTCCTTGCTGAAGCCTTCATAGAGGGCTCAATGCTTTCTGTTGCAACATGTTACTGTCAAATTGAACACGTTTTTCTATTCAAGTCTTCCACCCCCAAATTTAATGCCTTTTCCATTCTTAACTAAGCATTTGCCATGCCCTGTGGCCATGACTTTTGCATCGTGAGGTGCCATAGCAAAACTAGCACAAATTTTTTTTTCTTTCTTCACAATTTCACAAGTAGAATATTCATTCTTACTGTAGATCTTAGCAACCTCAGCATACAATCTTTTCTCTTTTCTTATTAAATTGAGAACTTTCACCTTTCACTTTCCCCCCCCCAAAAAAATAACGCTTTACCACTTCTCTTTGGCATATCTAAATTGCCAGAATCCAGAATACTACACTCGTGCTTTGGGGCCATTATTAAGTTACATAAGAGTGACATGAATATAAGTACTGCAATATGTGACAGTGAAACTGAGAATTGAGACAGCTACTGACTAATAGACAGGGAGCATGTACAGTGTGGAGACCCTGGACAAAAGGAGGATTTACTTCTGTGTGGGGCAGAGTAGGATAATGTGAGATTTCATCACACTACTCAGAATAGTGAGAAATTTAAAACATATGAATTGTTTATTTCTGGACCTTCCCATTTAACATTTTTGGGCCATGGTTGACCACAGGTAACTAAGCCTGGAGAAAAAGAAACTAAGGATAAGGGTGGGCTACCTTAATGTCTATTTCCAGAGATGGGTGGCATGTGTATGGGTTTTTATTTTACTATTGTCCATTAAACAGTCTTACATGTTTCAACATACCATCTGGCAGATATTTCACAATAAAATTTTAAAACTCAATGTAAATAAGTTATCTAATCAAAAAATAAAGATGTTCCTGTGAATGACCTCTTTGGACTAACCCTAGGAAGATTTTATCTGCATTTTAATGATGGACTGTAGAAGAAATAAGACCAGGTCTGGGCCATGTTAGGAGTGCGGTGGCGGAGGGTCTGGATAGCCTGGGAAAATATGCCAGCTATGCTACTCTTCTTCGTTCCTAAGCATTTTAATCTGGGCTGCTTTCCCAGAACCCTCAGACACCTGGACTGCAAGAAAATTAAGACTTGGTGATGTTCACAAACGATCCTTTCGTGAACAGGTTTCCTATACTACCCTTTAATGCAACAATGGGATGAAGAGATGAAGACTTCTAGCAGGCTACCTCAGAAAGGTTGCTGACCAAAGGCTGTATGGACCAAAAAGTCATAACACCACCCTGGATGAAAGGACATTTACCTAAGGAATTACCCGCTCTCAATTCTTCCCAGGTGCATGTAGTATAGATTAAATAAGGTGGTTGTATGGCAACAGAGACATTATTAGAAACATTCTTCTTGAAGTTTGACAACAAAGCAGTAGATGTGTATCTACTACAGAGTTGTTAGTGAAAAAAGGTATGTTTGAAGTAATCAATTGGTATTCATTTTAAACAGTAATGGTCTTACTGAAGCTAAGTTTAATACATGCTGTGTTTGGAAGTAATTTCTTTACCACTGTGTAGAAACCTTCACAGCTGTTCTTTTTTTGTTGTTGTGTTGTTGACATTCAGTAGCAAATTACAAGAATCTCTGATGAAAACTCCTTACAGCTAGATGTGTTCTTATTTTTGAATTCAGACTCAGTGTCAATGATCTCACTACTCTATCTCCAATTTTCCCAAATACATGGGTAAATTGTAAGTGGAAGCTAATTTATCTTCAAAAATTTGAAGGGCAGGATAGACACTGTCTAGTTTGGAAATATTAAGAATATAATTCTTAGTGAATATAAATAAATAGTTTTTGATTTCCCATAATTTTTCATAGGCTAGCTTAAAAAATTCTTTCTTGCTTACCTTTTAAATTACTTAGCTCTAACAATTTCTACTTTGCAAATTTTGCAGAAATAACATTAAATGGAGCAGAAAATAAAGCTAGTATAGGGTAGAGAAGGATTACCTGACTTAGAGCACAGGGAAAGAACTCCATCTTCATTTCCACTAAAAATTGAATATTTCATGCTGTCCTGAATTGAGTCAGGAGCAAAAGCTTTAACAGTCACAATAGAAGTACCTGTAAAAATTAGGTAAAAAAAGAACTCCATTAGGATAAAAAAATTTCATGGAAACACAAGAGAAAATACTGATTATTTATTATTTGCCTACTATGTTTTCACTTGTTCATTGATTCAACAATAACTTATTGTCTTCAATGAGCCAGATCCCATGCTAGGTGCTAGGGATATACTAGCAAACAAGATAGAAAAGATCTCTGTCCTCATGGTGGTTATTAACTTGTGTAAGGAGACAGACAATAAACCATTAAAACATACATAATCATAGAAAAGTTTCAATTGTGTCAGGCCCTTAGAAAGAGAGAAATAAGGTTACTTGATATAAGGTACTTCTTTTTCAGGGGAAGCACCAGACTTTAGAGAGGTCTGGGGACAGTGAAGGATGAGAAGCCATAGAAACAGCTGGAAGAAGAGGATTTTGGGAAAAAGAGCCACCACCACAAAGGCTGTGGGCTAGGAAAGGGCTTGGTTGGGTAAAGCACAATGAGTAGGGGAAGAAGAAGAAGGTGGAGATGGCAGGATAAGCAAAGGTCAGATTTTATTGTAAGTGCAAAGGGAAGTCATGGAAGCATTTTAAGGAGTAGAGTAAAATATGATTTGCTTTTTAAAAATATCATACTAAGTGCTGTGAGAACAGAGAAGAGAGGGGTAAGAATGGAGCAGAGAGGCCAATTAAGATAATACTGCAATAGTCCAAGCAGAAGACAATGACCTAGGACTGTGGGATGGGAGATGGAGAGACATGGACAGATTAAAGACATTTGACACACTGCCCCAAAACACTGGAGGTGGGAGTGGGAAAGGAGGCTATGAGAGCATAAAGAAAAGAAATATTCCCTCAACCAGCTTCCGATCTAGCTGTAGGAAAAAGCAACCCAACTAGAGAGTAACCAGCAACTTAACTGCAAGACATGAATTAATTCAAGATTTGTTCAGATAGAGCAGGGGCAAAGAGATAACTTTAAGGGAGAAACAGAAATTCAGTTAGGTATAGGAATTGGAAAGACAAAAGAGAAGGAAGTCATTTTAAGTTACGGGAACAGACTAAATACCAACATGAAAGAAGAATTAGCAAGGACTGATAGAGGCAAGAAGACAATCCTTGTAATTAGATCTAGAACCAAATAAGGCAGGAGTGGGGAATAAATTTAAATAGGAAGTATAAATACAGTGTGAAGAAGGGTAAGAGAGGTAGCAAGAGAATGGGAGAGCTTGAGAGCCAGGGAGATAAGTGTGGCTTTATGTCAAGAATCAGCTAATTTTTCTGTCAAGGGCCAGATATTAATTATTTTAGGCTTTACAAGTCACACAGTCCTGTTGCAAATACTCAAATCTGCTATTGTAGCATGAAAGTAGTCACAGACAATGCATAACCAAGGGAGTGTGGCTGTGTTTCAATAAAACTTTATTTACCAAAATAAGTGGATGAGCAGATCCTCGCTTTATGTGACAGGAAGCAATGAAGAAATGCAAAGTTCTTGAGGGGACTGATATACTAAGAGAAGATGCTGAGTGCCTTTAAGGCAAACCAGGTAGGGCAGCTGTCTGTATGGGAAGCTCTGTGGAAAAAGTCATCTACAGCAGCCGGAAGGGTCCCAAGTATTCATTTGGTCCCCAAGTTAGTACTTTGATGTCCTTGTAATATTTTATGTCCTTTGCTGCTCATCTTTCCCAGTTGTCTATGTGTCACCCTCTTAGGATTGCCTGCCTTGTTTTGTAAAAGTATTTTTTTACTTAATCAATTTCATTTATGTGAAATTTACATACAATAATCTGTACATATTTTAAATATAGAGTTCTATGAATCTTGAAAATATATACACTGTGTAATCAGTATCATAAGCATAAAATATTTTCTATGATCAGTATCATGATCATAGAATATATTCGACACCTCAAAATGCTTTCTTATGCCCATTTCAGTTTTCTCTCACTTTTGGCCCCAGTAAATCACTGATCTGCTTTCTATAAGTCTACATTAGTTCTGCCTCTTAAATTTCATACATTTGTGAATTACACAATACCTGATTTCTTTTGCTCAGCATTTTTTGAGAATCAAGCATGTTATTTTATGTATAAAAATTCATACAATTGTTATTGCAGAGTAATATTCTATTAAATGGAAAACCACAATTTCTTTTTCATTTACCTAGGGATGGGCATTTGAATTATTTCCAGTTTTTGGCTATTATGAAAAAAACTGCTATGAACATTCATACACAAGTGTGTGTGTGGACCCATGTTTTCACTGATCAAGGCCTAAATACCTACGGTAAGTATACATTTAACCTTATAAGAAAATGCAAAACTATTTTTCCAAAGTAGTATCATTTTACATTTCTTCTAACAACATATGAGAATGGCAGTTGCTCTACTAATATGGTTTGGCTTTGTGTCCCCACCCAAATCTCATCTCAAATTGTAATCCTCATAATCTTCACGTGTCAAGGGAGGCACCAGGTGGGAGGTGATGGGATCATGGGGGCACTTTCCCCATGCTGTTCTCATGATAGTGAGTGAGTTCTCATGAGATCTGATGGTTTTATAAGGCAGTTTTCCCTGCTCTTGCCCACTGTCTCTCACCTACTGCCATGTAAGGCATGCCTCCACCCCTTCCACCATGTTTATAAGTTTCCTGAGGCCTCCCCAGCCATGCAGAACTGTGAGTCAATTAAACCTCTTTCCTTTGTAAGTTACCCAGTCACAGGTAGTATCTTTATAGCAGTGTGAGAACGGACTGATAACATCCACATTGATTGGTATTATCAATCTTTTAAATTGTAGCCATCCTAGTGGATATGTAGTATCTTACAGTGGTTTTAATTTAATTTATCTGGTGTCTGGTGATATTGTGCATCTTTTCATGTGCTTATTGGCCACTTCCTCCTCTTTTTAATCCATCTTTGGTCCTTGGCCTCCTGTTTACTACTCACATACTATTCCTCAGAAACTTCCTCATAGTTCCACTTCTACGCTGTTGGTGAAAATGTAAACTAGTACGACGACTATGGAAAACAGTCTGCAGATTCCTTAAAGAACTAAAAGTAGATCTACCATTTGATCCAGCAATCCCACTTCTGGATATCTACCCAGAGGAAAAGAAGTCATTATACAAAAAAGATACCTGTGTATGCGTGTTTAGGGCAGCACAATTCACAATTGCAAAAATATGGAACCAGCCCAAATGCCTATCAATCATCGAGTAGATTAAGAAAATGTGATATATATATATGCACACACACCATGGAATACCTCTCAGCCATAAAGAGAAATGAAATAATGGCATTCACAGCAACCTGGATGGAATTGGAGACTATTATTCTAAGTGAAGTAACTCAGGAATGGAAAACCAAACATTGTGTATTCTCATTCGTATGTGGGAGCTAAGCTAAGAGGATGCAAAGGCATAAGAATGATACAATGAACTTTGGGGACTTGGGGGAAAAGGTGGGGAAGTGAAGGATAAAAGACTATACAATAGATACTATATACACTGTTTGGGTGACGGGTGCACCAAAATCTCAGAAATCACCACTAAATAAGTTATTCATGTAACCAAAGACCATCTGTTTCCCCAAAACCTACTGAAATAAAAACTTAAATTTAAAAGAAACAAAAAAACAAATATGTATACATAGAAAAAATATTATATATATGTATATTCTAAAAAATAAATGAAAGAAGCTTCCTCATAGTTCCTTTACTGGCCTTAGTCCTCTGATATTAGGCCTGTAATTTATGGCATCTGTTTTACACTCCCAATCTTGCAATGCCTGTGCTTCTTACTTAACTGTCATCCTGCCCTATACGATTACACATACTGGTAAAAGTATGCACACTGTCCTGATTGGGGAGAGATGGATAGGGAGTAAGGCTATAGGAGTCTACCCTGCTGCTGGGTGCACAGTAACAGAGGCCATGTATAAGACAGTGGTAACAAGTCACAAGAGGAAAGTAAGAGGAAACATCTAAAAGGAACAGGAGCTGACATGGTGTCAGAGATGAGTACAGAGCAGGGCTCATCATCCCATATGCATTTGGGTAAAAGCAAGAAGCAGGAACAAATGTAGAGGTCAAATGGTGGAGGAGGCCAGAAAATGTCTCAGACAGTCACTGTCAGCCTATCGCTGTCAGCAGGGAAAAGAGGCTTCAGGATGCTGAAGATTCTGGGCTTTTCAAGAGAAGCTCAAAATTTTATATATTTATTTTTATTTGAAATCTCTCAATTTCTAAGTGTTGGAAAATAATTTAATTTATGGGGAAAAACCCCACTATATTGGTTGAACAAAACACAGCTGTGGTCTGACTCCAATTCTGAGTTTTCTTGTTTACCATCTCTGATAGAGAAGACAAATCTCTCCTCTTTTGTTTCTAACCCTTTTGGCACTTAGATTGTGCTACTAATTTGTCATCTAAGGACTTGTACTGAACATAGTTGAAGACTGATCTCATCTGCCTGCTTAAATTGGACTAAGTTCCATGACAGCAGAGGAGATTTTCTATATATTTGTATTGTATATGTTTTATAACTCTATATTAGTTTTGCTTTGAAAATTTCATATACTTGTGTATCATGTAGTATCTGGCGTATTTTGCTCAGTGTAATTTTTCAGGAATAAAACATGTTATTTTGTGTATCAAGTTTATTTTCTTGTATGTAGTAGATGCTTAATGAGTACGGGAAGAAAGGAGGTTAAAAAGGGAGACAGAGGAGAAAGGACACTGACATTTTCTATTGTGAGAGATTAGAAAAATCCTGGTCTCTGCCTACAGGATCACTGTAAGCCAAAAGCAATTTTTTTTAACTAACTTTTTTTTCAAATAACTCACTGCTATAATACCATATCTGATAGTGAGATTTGCAGTAGTTAGAAAAAACAAACAAAATAACAACAAAAAAAACAGCTACTCAAGATCTTTGCTGAGCCATCTCATTGAACCCTCATACACAAGCCCCAGAGACCCCAACTTGAAACCCATCTTGCTAGAGGTAATAACAAAAATGACCCCTAAACCAAGCCAAATTGTTATTTTTTTTTTCTGGATATGTAAAAGGATTTTACTGTAAAGAACAGAAAAAAGAAAAGGCTCTGGAACAAATAGTAGTTTTCCTTAGAAGCCTTTCAATGCCTAACACTCAAAAATGCAGTGATCACTGTAAATATTAAAGGAAACAAGTGTGATATTGCCTGCAAAACTGAAACTTCAGTGAAAGCTCAGTCAAAAAAAAGGGATAAAACAGAATTTGTTAAGGAAAAAGAGCAAGAAAACCCAACTGAATATATTACTCTCTTTACAAACATTATGCTTAACATAAACTGTAACAAAGTTTAAAAATCATTTATCAGGATTTCCAAACGGTTATTCTTTTCAAGCCAGTTAGGAAGAAGTCATTTAGTGACAAAGTAATGGATTATAATCAATCATGGTGGAATCAAGTTACCACACATGTTGAGAACTCTTTCAAATTGCATTATAATCTGATGCTTATTTTATTGCATTTTGAGAGACATATTGTTAATATAAAAATGTCTTAGATTTTTGGTAGGAATATGCCTTTACAGTAGTACAATATGTTTTATCCCCACTGCTCAAAGTTCTGTGCTTCCGGGTACAATTTATTTCCTAAACACAGGAAATTTTATTTCAACTGGCTTGTCATATAAGTCTTAAGGATGGCAGTAAGAAAAGAAACAGCTATGCCAACAAAAGAAACAATCTTGCTGACGGCCTTTTTTTCATGGGTTAGAATGCTTATTATATGCCCAATTACAAAAGAAAACATAGTGACTGCTTGCATAGAAAAGAATAAAGATGAGTACAGAACTGCAAAGAAGAGTTATACATGGCCTCTCTCATAAAGGAACAATCCTATTTTTGTTGCAAATCAAATTTTCATAATATCAAATGGAATTGTAGCACAAAAGAATTTCATTCAATGAAAATACTTCAAACTAGACACTGAAGTCAGCAAGAAGCTGCAAATGTTTTATATGTTCTTCCTCTGACAAAGTCCAAATTGGAGATTCTCTTGAAAAAAGATAAAATAACTTAAGGGACTTGAATCCTTCTTGGCATCTGCTTACTGTGAAAATTTTAAATAAAAGTCTATCTCTGGGCATATAGATGAAACTTACTATTCATTTCACATTATCAAGGTAGAAAGGGTAAGCTATGAAAACCAACACTGTACCTGCAACTCGAATGAGTTAAGTGAAACATACAGAATAATTTACCTTTTACATTTTCAAGCTTTTATAAATTTTATTTCAAGTCTGACACCGTATTTAAAAAGTGTGAAACATTTAATGTTCTTGGTTTTTTCTTCTTTACAAAAATAGAGTTAAAAAACTCTGACCGCTCACAGCAGCAATTTAAAAGCATACTTAGATAACTATTAATTAATGCTATATGACTGTAAAAATCAATAATTATAAAAGTATTTAGGTAAAGTAATTATGAAAACATTGTATGCATAGAAGTGCATGAGTGAATAATTCTAGAGTTTTATGTTTGTTATTCCTAAGCAATGCCAACATTTTCTTATTGATGACTGACTTGAGAGAAACAGATTTTCAAACATTTGGATGATTCTGAATTATCTGTTATCACTTAAGTGTCCAACCATTGAAACTAAACATATTGCAACTACTTAAGAAAAGCCTGGAGTGACATTAGCAAGATGGCAGAATGGGAAACCCCAGACCTTGCTGCACAAAGGCACGGACTTAACAAGAACATATGTTCCAAAAAGCCTTCATGAGAACTGCAAAAGCAGTTAAGAAGTCATGGGACACCAGGCAAGCTCAAAACCAAGAATAGTCAGATTGTAGACATTGCATTTAATCCCCAGTGGACATTCCCCTAAGCTAGCAACAGTGCTAGTGAAATTCTTTTGTGCTACAATCCCATTTGATATTATGAAAATATTATGAAAATTTGATTTGCAATAAAAATAGGATTGTTCCTTTATGAGAGAGGCCATGTATAACTCTTCTTTGCAGTTCTGTAGTCATCTTTATTCTTTTCTATGCAAGCAGTCACTGTGTTTTCTTTTGTAATTGGGCATATAATAAGCATTCTAACCCATAAAAAAAAGGCCATCAGCAAGATTGTTTCTTTTGTTGGCATAGCTTTTTCTTTTCTTACTGCCACTCTTAAGAATAAACACACAACTTGGGGCTTCTCCACTGGGATGGAAAGAGAAGGGTAGAATATACATCCAACTTTATAGCTTTTGAGGGGGCTACCTGTGGAGATGGTTTCTGTGTTAACTTGGCTCAGAATACTGATGGGGAGCCAGCATACTTTGGATGCTTGAGGGTTGCTGAGAACAAAAGAGAACTCAGTGGCTTACCGCAGTGCCAGAGAATGTGAAGTACTGCAGATAGACACCAGAGAGAGCAAGAGACTACAAAGCCCCTCAGAAAGAAACTGGCAAACCTCTCTAATTGGGTAGTCACGTACATAAGCCCAGTGAAGATTCATCCCCAGAAAACCTTTAGGAGGCCCCCAGAATCTGTAGCCAGGCTGATTGGTAAAGATCTTCCTTTGCACAAATCCAGTCTGTAAAATCTAGAGAGGTGGTGATTTTTTTCAAATGCAGAAATCACACCAAAAAAAAAAAAAAAAAGACAATAAGGAATATGGAGAAACAAAAAATGGCTGAATCAATGGAATAAAACAAATCTCCAGGTGCTAACCTGAAGAAACAGATCTATAAATTACTTAACAAAGAATTCAGAACTGAGTGCAGTGGTTCATGCCTATAATCCCAGCACTTTGGGAGGCCAAGGCAGGTGGATCACCTGAGGTCAGGAGTTCAAGACCAGCCTGGCCAACATGGTGTAACCCTGTCTCTACCAAAAATAAAAAAATTAGCTGGGCATGGTGGCGGGCACCTGCAATCCTAGCTACTCAGAAGGCTGAGGCAGGAGAATCGCTGGAACGCAGGAGGCAGAGGCTACAGTGAGCCGAGATTATACCACTGCACTCCAGCCTGGGCAACAGAGCAAGACTCCATCACACACACAAAAAAAAAGAATTTAAAATAATTACACAGAAACTCAATGCACTACAAGAGAACACAGACAATCAAATGAAATGAGGAAAACTGCATGAACAAAGTGAGAATATCAATAAAGAGATAGAAACTAATTTAAAAAAACCCAGAAATTAAGGAGCTGAAGAACAAAATAACTGAATTGAAAAATTCACCAGAGGGATTTAACAGAAGACTTGATCAAACAGAGGAATCAGTGAACTTGAAGACAGATCATTTGGAATTATCAAGTTAGAGGAACAACAGCAACAATAAAATAATGAAGAAAAGTGAAGGAAGCCTAAGGAACTCATGGGACATCATCAAGTGGACCAATATATTCACTATGAAAGCTCAGAAGGAGAAGAGGGAAACAAAGGAAAATGGGTAAAAAGCTTATTTGAAGAAACAATGGCAAAAAAGTCCCCAAATCTGAGGGAAAAAATAGACATCCATATTCATGATACTTAAAGGACTATACATAGGATAAATCCAAAGAAATCTACGTGAGAACACATTAAAATCCAACTGTATATGTCAAAGATAAAGAGAAAATCTTAAATTAAAAAAAAAAAGAGAAAGAAAAAGTGACTCATCCTGAACAAGGGAGCTCCCATAAGATTAAGTGGATTTCTCAGCAGAGACAGTAGAGATCAGAAGGGAGTAGGATGATGTACTCAAAGGGCTGAAAGTAAGAAAACTGCCAACCAAGAATACCACGTCTTCCAAAACTGTCCTTCATAAATGAAGGAGAGGTGACTTTCCTAGATAAACAAACGTTGAGGGATTTCAAGTCTATTAAACCTGCCTTACAGGATATGAGAAAGTGAGTCCTTCAAGTTGAAACAAAAGGACACTATACAGCAAATGAAAACACAAAAAAATATATACAGCACTTGTAAAGGTAAATATAATATGGCAATAGTGATGAAAAAATCACTTTTATTCTGGTATAGAATTTAAAAGATAAAAGAATAAAAATATAACTACTAACTAGGTTAATGGATATGCAATATAAAAGATGTAATCTGTAACATTGATAATATAGAATGTGTTGGGGATGTAAAGGAGCAGAGTCTTTTGTATGTAATTGAGCTAGAGCTGTTATAAAGTAAATTGTTATAAATATGATATTTTATATAGTCTCCATAGTAACCACAAAGAAAATATGTATAGAAGAAACACAAAAGGAAATAAAAAAATCAAGGTATGTTGCTACAAAAAATTAACAAAACACAAAGGAAGGTAACAAGAGAAGAAAATAAATGAAAAATAAGATCCAGCTATATGCTGTCTATTAGAGACTCACTTTACATAGAAGAACACACAAATAAGCTGAAAATGAAATGATAAAAATATTTCATACAAATGCTATCCAAAAGAGTGTAGGGTTGGCCATACTTTTATCAGGAAAAATTGGCTTTAAGTTAAAAACTATCACAAGATGTAAATAAGAACATTATATAATAATAAAAAGTCCATTCAACCACAATGGAATGAAACTCAAAATCATTAGCAAAAGGAAAGCTAGTAAATTCTCAAGTACATGGAAATTAAACAACACATTCTTGAACTACTGATACATCAAAAGGAAATCAAAAGAAAATTTAGAAAATATATTGAGATAAAAACAGAAACAAAACATACCAAAAATTATGGGATGCAATGATAGTAATACTAAGAGGAAAGTTAATAGTGGTAAACACTTACATTAAAAAAGAAGAAAGATCTCAAATTAACAATCTAACATTACAACACAAGGAACCAGAGAAAGAACAAACTTAACCCGAAGTTAGTAGAAGGAAGGAAATAATAAATACTAAAGCAGAAATAAATGACATTATAGAAAAACAATAGAAAAAAACAATGGAACTAAGTTATTTTTTTGAAAAGCTTAATAAAATTGGCAAAGCCTTAGCTAGACTAATGAGACAGAGACAGAGAAAGAGAGAGAGAGAAAAAAATGAATCCTTAATTAAAGAGGAGACATTAAAACCAATGCCACAGAAATCCAAAGGGATCATAAGAGACTAATTTGAACAATTATACAGCAAAAAATTAGATAACCTAGATGAAATGGATACATTTCTGGAAATATATAACCTACCAAGACTGAATCATGAATAAATAGAAAATCTCAAGAAACCTGTAATTAGTAAGGTGATTGAGTCAATAATCAAAAACTCTCAACAAAGAAAACTCCAGGACCAGATGGCATCACTGGAGAATTCTAAGAAACATTTAAAAAATTAATGTCAATTCTTCTTAAACTCTTTCAAGAAATTGAAGAGGAGAGAATACTTTGAAACTCATATTATGAGGCCAGCATTATTCTCATTCCAAAGTCAGACAAAGATACTAAAAAGAAAGTTTTCTTCAGACCAATCTCCCTGATAAATATATATGCAAAATTTATCAATAAAATACTAGCAAACATAATTCAACAGCACATTAAAAGGATTATATACCATGACCAAGTGGGGTTTGTCCCTGGGATGCAAGAATTGTTCAACATACAAAAACAAATTAATGCGATACACCACATCAACAGAACAAAAAATAAAAATTACATGATCATCTCAGTAGATGCAGAAAAAGCGTATAACAAAATTCAACATGCTTTCATGGTAAAAACTCAAACTAGGAATAGAAGGAAATTATTTCAACATAATAAAGGCCATATCTAAAAATCCCACAGCTAACACAACACTCAACAGTGAAAAACCAAAAGCATTTATGCTAAGATAAGGAACAAGACAAGAATGCTCACTTCTTTTTTTTTTTTTTTTAAAGACAGAGTCTTACTCTGTCACCCAGGCTAGAGTGCAACGGCATGATCTCGGTTCACTGCAACCTCTGCCTCCAAGGTTGAAGTGATTCTCCCACCTCAGCCTCCTGAGTAGTCGGGATTACAGGCATCCGCCATCATACCTGGCTAATTTTTGTATTTTTGTGGAGACAATGTTTCACCATGTTGGCCAGGCTGGTCTTGAACTCCTGACCTCAGGTGATCTGCCCACCTCGACCTCCCAAAGTGCTGGGATTACAGGTGTGAGCCAGTATGCCCAGCCAGAATGCCCACTATTACCACTTCTATTTAACACAGTATACAAGTCCTAGCCTGAGCAATTAGACAAGAGAAAGAAGAAGAAGAAAAAAAATGCATGCAAACTAAAAAGAAAAACAAAGTAAAATTATCTTTGCAGACGACATAATCCTGTATGTGTAAAACCCTAAAGATCCCACAAGAAAAACTAATAAACAAATTCAGCAAAGTTGCAGGATACAAAAATCAATATGCAAATATTAGTTGTGTTTCTATCCAGTAACAATAAGCAATCTGAAAAGAAAATTAGAAAAACAATACCATTTACAACATCATCAAACAAAATAAAATACTTAAGAATAAACTTAATCAATGAGGTAAAATATTAATACGTTGAAAATTTCAAAACATTACTGAAGGAAATCAAAGAAGTCACAAATAAATGGAAAACCATTCCATGTTTATGAAATGGAAGACAATATTGTTAAAGTGACCATAGTATCAAAAGGAATCTACAGATTCAATTCAATCCCTACCAAATCTTCAATGTCATTTTTTGTAGAGTTCGTATAAGCTACCCTAAAATAAATATGGAATGTCAAAGGACCCTGAATAGTCAAAATAATCTTGAGAAAGTAAAACAAAGCTAGAGGCTTCATACTTACTGACTTCGAAACAGTTTACAAAGCTACACCAATCAAAATGTATGATACTGGAATAAAGACAGACATATAGACTAATGGAACAGAATATAAGGCCTAGAAATAAACCCACATGTATATGATCAAATGAACTTCAATAAGGGTGCCAAGGTTACATAATAGGGTATGAATAGTATCTTCAACAAATGGTGCTTGGAAAACTGAATATCCACATATGAAATACTGAAGTTGGACCCTTTTCTTATACAATCTACAAAGATCCACTCAGAATGGATTAGAGACTTAAATGTAAGAGCTGAAACTCCAAAATTAATATAATATAGGAGGAGAGCTTCATGATATTTAATTTAGCAATGATTCATTCTTTGGATATAAGACCAAAAGCATAGGCAACAAAAGCAAAAAAATAGACAAATAGGAGTATATCAAACTGAAAGCTTTTTCACAGCACAGGAAACAATGAACAGATTAAAAAGGGAACTTATATAATAAGAGAAAATAGTTGCAAGCCACATATCTGATGAGAGGTTAATATCCATAGTATATAAATAACTCTTGCAAATAAACAAGAGAACAAAAGCAAATAACCTGATTAAAAATGAACAAAGGACTTGAACAAACATTTCTCCAAAGACGATATCCAAACGGTCAATATCATTAAATATCAGGGAAGTAAAAATCAAAACCACAAGATATTACCTTATACCCATTAGGATGGCATTTATTTTATATCAAAAATTAAAAAAAAAACAGAAAATAACAAATGTTGACAAGGATGTCGAGAAATTGGAACCTTTGTGCACTGTTGCTGGGAATGTAAAATGGTGCAGCCCACTATGGAACATAGTACAGAGGTTCCTCAAAAAATTAAAAATAGAATTACTTTATGATCCAGCAATTCCACTTCAGGATATATATCCCCAAGAATTGAAAACAGGATCTCAAAGGGATATTAGCATACTCATGTTCCTTGCAGCATTTTTAAAAATAATAAATGAGAGGTAAAAGCAACCTAAATGTCCCTCAATGAATGAATGGATAGCCAAAACGTAGTATATACATTCAATGAAATATTATTTGGCCTTTAAAAAGAAGGAAATGAAAATCCTGTTATATGCTACAAAATGGATAAAGCTTAATGACATTATGTGAAATAAGCCAGTTACAAAAACAAATACTGTCTGATTCCACTTATATGAAGTATTTAAATAGACTCTTAGAAACAGAAAGTAGAATGGCATTTGCTAAGGGTTGGTGGAGGGGGCAGAAGAAAATAGCTTGGTGGGCACAATTTGAATTTTACAAAATGAAAAATATCTAGAGATCTGTTGTGTAACAATGTGCACACAGTTAACACTGTCGTAGACTTAGAAATAATCAAGATGGTAAATTTTATGTTATGTGTTTTTAACACAATAAAAAAAGAAGAAATGCATTGATTTTTTTCTACCACCTTCCTATCATTAAAAATGGCTGAACCATTACTAAGGCTTTTTAAAAAAATCACTCCTGATGTGAGACAAAGCATGGAAAATGTATGCTCAAAAGAAATAATTTTCCAAAATTTGTGGATAGGTGAAAATCATGCTTTAAAATGAAAATGGTATACATTCTTAAACTTATTTGCTTTTGTGAACACCTAAAGAAATAATAGAGAAGCCAGAAAACTGCTTATTTTTTTATAAGTTTAAGCAAAAAAAAAAAAAAGATGTGCAGATAAACCAAAATAAAGTTAATGCATGCAATGAGAAGTAAACACAATTGATTAAGTCTGAAATAGATTTTTAATAGGATTATAGATTTTAATGAGGCAACTTTCAAAGAAGTGATTATAAATTGTTGCACTTAATTATTTAAAAATGCACACATAGCAACTTAGAGAAAGGCAGGTGCTAAAATGATCCCTAGATGTTCCAACTATATCTCTAATTTTGTGATTTACAGAAGACTGTATTTAAGACATGAGTTTGAGAATTTTCACTGCTGCTTCAGTGTTGGATCAGAGTCAACATCTTGATTGTGGACCTGGTGCTGCCAATTTTCCCTCACTTCCCAACCATTTCTTGTATGGGCTGTCATCCCAAAGTTGACACTCAGACTTTAGATTCCCTGAATTTTCAGGAGCCATCCTCATTATCCTTTCCAGCTCCCAGAACTCCAGATCAAGCTAGAATCCAGAGCCTGCATGTGTTCAGAAAGAAAGGTTGCATAATTTTTCTATGTGAGTAATTCTCAACTTTGGTTTTGAGATAACCCAGAACATTTCCAATTATCTCAAAAAACAAGGTAAATGTATCTACCAAAATGTACAGTTACACTTCACTTAAAGAAATGCCTTTTAAGATGTTTTTAGTTGCCAAATAATAAAAACTACACTACAGTATTTCCATAATTCAATGATTGTTGCAGCAGCTCTTCATGAAAACAGCATTTTTATCCTCAAAATAATCTAAAATCAGGCTTCAGACATCCACAAACAATAGACGCCAATTAAAAACAAAAATAAAATCCTGTTATTTCTACCAAATGTTTTATTCTATTTTTGACTTAAATATTAATAAGGAGGTTGAGCAAGATGGCAAAATAGAAGTCTCCCCAGATTGTCCTCCCAACAGGGAAACAAAATTGAACAATTATCTACACAAAAAAGGACCTTCATAAGAACCAAAAATCAGGTGAGCAATCACAGTACCTGGTTTTTACTTCATATCACCAAAAGAGGCACTGAGGAGTGTAGGGACAGTCTTGAATTGAATACAACCCCACCTTCCCCATCTCCTGGCAGTGGCCATGTGCTGAAGAGAGAGAATCTGTGCACTTGGGAGAGGGTGAGCATGGTGATTGTGGGACTCTGCATTGGAACTCAGTGCTGTCCTGTCACAGCACAAAGCAACACTGGGCAGAACTCAGCCAGCTCCCATGGAGGGAACATTTAATCCAACCCTGGTGATAGGGGAATCTCCTGTCTCAGCAGTTGGAACCTGAATTCCAGCAAGCCTTGCCACTGCAGGCTAAAGAGCTCTGGAAAGTTTGTCTAGGCCACAAGGACCACAATTCCTGGATAAGGAATTGTGCGGGGCTTGAAGCCAGTGGACTTCGGGGAGCACATGACCTACTGAGACACCAACTGGGGTGGCCAAGGGAGTACTTTCACCACCCCTCCCCTAACCCCAGGCAGCACAGCTTATAACTCCAGGACAGACTCTTTCCTTCCACTTGAGCAGAGGAGAGGGAAGAGTAAAGAAGACTTTGTCTTGCAACTTGGATACCAGCTCAGCCACAGTATGATAGGGCATTAGGCAGAGTGCTGAGGCCCCCATCCCAAGCCCTAGCTCCCAGACAACATTTCTAGACACACCCTGGGCCAGAAAGAAACCTGCTATCTTTAAGGCAAATACCTAGTCCTGACAAGATTCACCACCTGCTAATGAAAGAGCCCTTGGGCCCTGAAGTACTCCTTGGTAGCCAGGAGTACTCACCATGAACCCTGGGCGAGACTCAGAGATGTGCTGGCTTCATGTGTGACCCAGCATATTCCCAGATGTGGTGGCTATGGGGAGAGACCCTTTCTGCTAGAGAAAAAGAGAGGGAAGGGGAAAGGGGACTTTGTCTTGCAGTTTAGGTACCAGCTCAGCCACAGTGGGACAGAGCACCAAGTGGGCTCTTAGGATCATTGATTCCGGGCCTTGGCTCTTGGACAGCATTTCTTGAACTGCCCCAAGGCAGAGGGGAGCCTACTGCCTTGAAGGGAGAGTTCCAGGCCTGGCAATATTCATCACAAGCTGAGTAAAGATTCCTTTGGCCTTGAGTGAACATTAGCAGTAGCCAGACAGTATTCCTCATGGGCCTGGAGTGGTGGTGGCCATATGAGAGAGACTCTTATGCTTGTAGAAAAGCTGGGGGAAGAATAGGAAGGACTTTTGTCTTGTGGCTTGGGTGCCAGCTCAGTTGCAGTAGAATAGAGCACCAGGTAGATGTGTCAGGAGTCCTGACTTTCTGATGACATCTCTGTACACTCCTAGGCTTCAGGGGAACTCACTGCCATGAAGGAAAGGACACAAGCTCGGCTGGCTTCAACATCCACTGTAGAGCCCTGGGGCCTTGAGTGAACATAGCTGGTAGCAAGGCAGTGGTTACTATAGGCCTTCAAGGGGACCCAGTGCTGTACTGGCTTCAGGTATGACCCAGTGCAGTCCCAGTGGTGGTGGTCACAGGGGTTCTTGGGTCACTCCTTCCACAGCTTCAGGCAGCTCAGCACAGAGCAAAAGAATTTGTTTGGAAGGAAGGAAGAGAAGAGAACAAGAGTCTCTGCCTGGTAATCAAGATAATTCTTCTGGGTTATATCCAGGACCACCAAGGTGGTGCCTCTGCATTAGGAACCCCCTAATGCAGATATGACTGCAGTGACCAAAAACTTAGATCACAACACCAAAGTCACTTCGAATACCTGGAAAGTCTTGCCAAGAAGAAGAGATGCAAACAACCTAGATGGCAAAGACTACAATAAATACCTACTCTTCAATATGCAGACACTGAAGAACATCCATAAGCATCAGTACCATCCAGGAAAACATGACCTTACCAAATGAACTAAATAAGGCACCAGGGACAAATCCTGGAGAAACTGAGATAGGTGACCTTTCAGACAGAGAATTCAAAACAGCTGTTTTGCAAAAACTCAAAGAATTTCAAGATAACACAGAGAGGGAGTTCTGAATCCTACTGGATAACTTTAACAAAGAGATTGAAGTAATTGAAAAAATTCAAGCAGAAATTCTGGAGTTGGAAAATACAATTGACATACTTAAGAATGCATTACAGTCTCTAAGCAACAGAACAGATCAAGCAGAAGAAAGAATTAGTGAGCTTGAAGGCAGGCTATTTGAAAATAAACAGAGGAGACAAAAGAAAAAAGGATGAAAAAGAAGAAAGCACATCTACAAGATCTAGAAAATAGCCTCAAAAGGGCAAATCTAAGAATTATTGGCCTTAAAGGGAAAGTAGAGAAAGAGGTAAGAGTACAAAGTTTATTCAAAGGGATGATAACAGAGAACTCCTCAAACTTAGAGAAAGATACCAATATATAAGTATAAGAAGGTTATAGAACACCAAGCAGTTTTAACCCAAAGAAGACTACCTCAAGGCATTTAATAAACTCCCAAATGTCAAGGATAAAGAAAGGATCCTAAAAGCAGCCCAAGAAAAGAAACAACATGCAGTGGAGCTCCAATACATCTGGAAGTAGACTTTTCAGTGGAAACCTTACAGGAAAAGAGAGGGTGGCATGACATATTTAAAGTTCTGGAAGAAATAAGCTTTTATCCTAGAATACCATACTCAGTGAAAATATCATTCAAATATGAAGGAGAAATAAAGACTTTTCCATACAAACAAAAGCTGAGGGATTTCATCAACACCAGACCTGTCTTACAAGAAATCCTATGGGGAGTATTTCAATCAGAAAGAAAAGGACATTAATGAGTAATAAGAAATCATCTTAAGGTACAAAACTCACTGGTAATAGTACACAGAAAAACACAGAATATTATAACACTGTAACTGTGGTGTGTAAACTATTCTTGTTCTAAGTAGAAAGACTAAACAATGAACCAACCAAAAATAATAACTACAACAACTTTTCAAGACATAGTCAAGACAGTACAATAAGATAGAAACAACAAAAAGTTGAAAAGTGAGGGAGCAAAGTTAAGGTATAGTCTTCTTTAAAAATTTTTGATAAGGAGCCTTACTCTGTCTCCCAGGTTGGAGTGCAGTGGTATGATCTTGGCTCACTGCAAACTCCGCCTCCCAGATTCAAGTGATACTTGTACCTCTGCTTTCCAAGTAGCTGAGATTACAGGTATGTGCACCATACCTGGCTAATTTTTCTATTTCTTTAAGTAGAGATGGGTTTCATCATGTTGGCCAGGCTGGTCATGAACTCCTGGCCTCAAGTGATCCACCTGCCTCAGCCTCTTGACATCCTGGGATTATAGATGTGAGCCACAGCACCCTGCCTAAAGTGTAGTCTTTATTAGTTTTCTCTTTGTTTGGTTGATTGTTTGTTTATGCATTCGGTGCCAAGTTATCATCAGTTTAAAATAATAAGTTATGAGATATTATTTGCAAGCCGCATGGTAACCTCAAATCAAAAAATATACAATGAAAACAAAAACGCTAGAAATTAAAATACACAACCAGAGAAAACCGCCTTCACTAAAACGAAGTCAGGAAGATAAGAAAAAGGGAAGAGAAGACTCTAAGACAATCAGAAAACAAATAACAAAATGGCAGGAGTAAATCCTTACTTAGCAATAATAACACTGAATGTAACTGGACTAAACTCCCCAATCAAAAGACATAGTATGGTTAAATGGATATAAGAAGAAGACACAATGGTCTTTTGCCTACTAGAAACACACCTCACCTATGAAGAGACACACAGACTGAAAATAAAGAGCTGGAAAAAGATACTCCATGCAAATGGAAACAAAAAAGAGAAAAAGTAGCTATATTTATATCATATACAATAGATTTCAACACAAAAACTATATAGACAAGGAAGGTCATTATGCAATGATGAATCAATTCAGCAAAAGGATATAATGTTTGTAAATATATATGCACCCACCACTGGAGGACCCAGATATATAAGGAAAATATTATTAGACCTAAAGAGAGATTGACCCCAGTACAATAATAGCTGAAGACTTCAACACTCCACATTCAGCATTGGATATATCATCCAGACAGACAATCAACAAGGAAATATTGAACTTAATAGGCACCATATATCAAATGGACCCAATAGATATTTACAGAACATTTCATCCAATGAAATGGATGGAGAATACACATTCTTCTCCTCAGCACATGGATCATTCTCAAGGACAGACCATATGTTAGGCTGCAAAACAAGTCTTGACAAAATATTGACAATAATTAAAATTATATAAAGTATCTTCTCTGACTGCAAAGGAATAAAACTAGAAATCAATAACAAAAAGTATTTTGGAAATTATACAGACACATGAAAATTAAACAATATGCTCCTGAATGACCAGTGATTCAATGGAAAAATTTAAAAGAAAATTTAAACATTTCTTGAAACAAACGATAATGGAAAGACAAAATAGCAAATCGTATGGGATCCAGCAAAAGCAGTACAAAGAGTAAAGTTTATAGCTGTAAGTGCCTACATCAAAAAAGTAGAAAAATGTCAAATAAACAATCTAACAATGCATCTTAAAGAATTAAAAAAGCAAGAGCAAAACAAACTCAAAATTGGTAGCAGAAAAGAAATAACAAAGATCAGAACAACAAAGATCAGAACAGAAATAAATGAAACTTAAATGAAGAAAACAATACAAAGATCAATGAAACAAAAAATTGGCTTTTTGAAAAGATAAACAAAATCAACAAACCTTTAGCCAGACTCAGAAGAAAAGGGAGAAGACCTAAATAAATAAAATCAGAGGTGAAAAAGAAGGCATTCCGACAGATACTACATAAATTTAAAGGATCATTAGTGGCTACTATGAACAATTATACACCAATAAATTAGAAAACATAGAATAAATGGATAAATTCATAGACACATATAACCTACCAATATTGAACTATAAAGAAATCCAAAGCCTGAACAGACCAATAATATGTAATGAGATCAAAGCTGTAATAAAAAGTCTCCCAGCAAAGAAAATCCCAGGACCTGATGACTTTACTGCTGAATTTTACCAAACATTTACAGAAGAACTAACACCTATCACACTCAAAGTATTCCAAAAAATAAAGCAAGAGAGAATACTACCAAACTCATTCTACCAGGTCATTATTATCTTCGTACCAAAATCAGACTAAGAGACATCAAAAAAAGAGAAAAGTAAAGGCCATATCTCTGATGAACACTGATGTAAAAATCCTCAACAAAATACTAGCAAACCAATTCAACAACACATTAAGAAGATCATTCATCATGACCAAGTGGGATTCATCCCAGGGATGCAAGGATGGTTCAACTTACATAAACCAATGGATGTGATACATCATGTCAACAAAATAAAGGACCATATGATTATTTCAATTCATGCTGAAAAAGCATTTGATGAAATTCAACATCCCTTCATGATAAACACCTTCAACAAACTGGGTATAGAAGAAACATACCTCAGCAAAACAGAGCAATCAGACAAGAGAAAGAAATAAAGGACATCCAAATTGGAAAGGAAAAAGTCAAATTATTCTTGTTTGCAGATGATATGATCTTATATTTGGAAAAACCTAAAGACTCCTCCAAAAAACTATTAGAACTGATAAACAAATTCAGTGAAGTTGCAGAATACGAAATCAACCTACAAAAATTCATGGCATATTGCCATGCCAGCAGCAAACAATATGAAAAAGAAACGAGAAAGTAATCTCATTTACAATAGCTACAAATAAAATAAAATACCTAGGAATTAACTTAACCAAAGCAGTGAAAGACTTCTGCAATGAAAAGTATAAAAGATTGATGAAAAAAATTGAGGAGGCTTCACAAAAAAGGAAAAGATATTCCATGTTCATGGATTGAAGAATCACTATTTTTAAAATGTCCATACTATCAAAAGCAACCTAAAGATTCAATGCAATCCCTACTAAAATACCAATGACGTTCTTCATAGAAATAGAAAAAATCTAAAATTTATATGAAATCATAAAAGACCCATCATAGTCAAAGCTATCCTGAGCAGAAAGAACAGAACAAAGGGAATCACATTACCTGGCTTCAAATTATACTACAAAACTATAGTAACAAAACAGCATGGTTCTGGCATAAAAACAAACATATAAACCAATGAAACAGAATAGAGAATCCAGAAACAAATCCAGACATCTACAGTGAACTCATTTTTCACAAAGTTGCCAAGAACATACACTGGAGAAAGAACAGTCTCTTCAACAAATGGTGCTGGAAAAACTGTATATCCATGTGCAAAAGAATAAAACTAGACCCCTACCTCTCACCACATACAAAAATTAAATCAAAATGGATTAAAGATTTAAACTTAAGACCTCAAACTATAAAACTGCTAAAAGAAAACATTGGGGAAACGCTCTAGGAAATTGGAGTGGGAGTAGATTTCTTGAGTAGTGCCCCACAAACACAGACAACCAAAGCAAAGACAGAAAAATGAGATCATATCAAGTTAAAAAGCTTCTGCATTGCAAAGGAAAGAATCAGAAAAGTGAAGCGACAACCCACTGAAGGGAGAAAATACTTGCAAACTATCTATCTGACAAGGGATTCATAACCAGAATGTGTAAGAAGCTCAAATAACTTTTTGGAAGAAAATCTAATAATCCGATTAAAAAATGGGCAAAACACCCAAATAGACATCTCTCAATAGAATACATATAAATGGCAAACAGGTATAAGAAAAGGTGCTCAACACCATTGATTATCAGAGAAATGCAAATCAAAAAACTACAGTGAAATATCATCTCATCTCATTTAAAATGACTTATATCCAAAAGACAGGAAAAAAAAAATGCTAGTGAGGATGTTGAGAAAGGGGAATCCTTATACGCTGTTGGTGGGAATGTAAATTAGCTCAACCACTATAAATAAATAACAGTGTGAAGGTACCTCAAAAACCTAAAAATAGAGCTATCATATGATCCAGCAATTGCACTGTTAGGTTATATACTTAAAAGAGAGAAAATCAGTACATTGAAGATATCTGCACTTCTATGTTTATTGCAGCACTGTTCACAATAGCCAAGATTTGGAAGCAACTTAAGTGTCCATCAACAGCTGAACGGATAAAGAAAATGTGGTACATATACACAATAGAGTAGCATCCGGCCATAAAAAAAGAATGAGACCCAGTCATCTGCAACAACATGGATGGAACTGGAGGTCATTATGTTAAGTGAAATAAGCCAGGCACTGACAGAAAAACTTCACATGTTCTCACTTATTTGTAGGGGCTAAAAATTACAATAATTGAACTCATAGAAATACAGAGAAGAAGGATGGTTACCAGAAGCTGGGAAGGGTAGTGGGAGGTTAGAGGGGAAGTGGTAATGGTGAATGGGTACAAAAATATAGTCAGATAGAATGAATAAGGTCTAGTATTTGATAGCACAACAGGGTTCCTACCGTCAACAATAATTTATTGTACATGTAAAATTAGCTAAGAGTATAACTGGATTGTTTGCAACACAAAGTATACAAGCTTGAGGAGATGGATACTCCATTTAGCCTGATGTGATTATTACACATTGCATGCCTGTATCAAAATATTTCACATAACCCATAAATATATATACCTACTACATACCTGCATAAATTAAAAATTAAAATTTTTTGAAATGTAAAAAAACAAATTTTCTATAATAAAAAATAATGAAAGTTTCTTGTAAATTTTCCAGTGCTATAAATCACAAATACCCAAACCTGTTTCTGCTTTCAGAAACATAACAAAATAATCCTCTGATTCTTCAGGGTTCTTCAAGCTATTGCCACTTTCCTTTCTTTCCCTTCATAGGAAAAGCTTGTGACAAATAAACTGATGTCTTTGTCTGATTTCAGGGACTGATTTCACTTTTTCACTCTGCACTTCACTATATTCTGGCTTTTAAAATAAATCTCTATGGAATTAGTCCACTCCCAAAATCCCAATTCCCTCCCAAGTTGTTCCATTTAGCTATGAAGAATTCCTATAAGAAGCCACAGCTGACTCCAGAATTCACATTAGAAAGCCTGGGCTGCTGGTATCTATTCTTGGCCCAAATCCTAAACTACTTCAACAGAGCAAACTTACTCCTCTCTAGACTCTCCAAGCACCTTATTTTGCTTTTAGTGCCATTCCTTTATTGTCTTATCCTCTATATTTAACACATGGACTTGTTATTTCAGACATGCCTTCCTTTCTCCCATGTTCATACCTCCTGATACCAAGATGTCATCCCCAGAACATCTCAGGTAATGCTGTTCCCAACTCAACCAAGCCCAGGGACTCAGTGAGTTGTAGCCCCACTCCCAGCAGGTGGCAGCCCACTACCTCACTTACTTCTGCTTTTGGGACAGGCACCCAGGTGAACCAGTAGCCATTTTTCCATCTCTATCTTACCTAGCCCCTGCTCTATATTAAATATGGTTGACCGCCCCGTTTCTTAAATGTGCCACTTTCTTGTTTCTCTAACACCATCCTCCTGGGAATTGTCACTATCACCCTAGCCCTCCAACTCAATCTCCTTTTTAGATACATTATTTGATCAACTCCTGTAAAATATTGATGTTACTTTAGATTTTCTTCTCAGCCCTCCCTCTTCCTTCACCCTTGGCTGCACATTGGAATCGCATGGGAGCTTCTACAAATAAACAATGTGTGCTCTACCTTCAACGATTACCATTTAACTGGATGCGGGAAAGGGGTGGATATCCAGGTATTCGATTTTTTTTTTTCTCTGAGACGCAGTTTCGCTCTTGTTGCCCAGGCTGGAGTGCAATGGCGTGATCTTGGCTTACCGCAACCTCTGCCTCCCAGGTTCAAGCGATTCTCCCGGATTACAGGCAAGCGTCAGCATGCCCGGCTAATTATTTGTATTTTTAGTAGAGATGGGGTTTCTCCATGTTGGTCAGGCTGGTGTCAAACTCCTGACCTCTGGTGATCCACCCACCCCGGCTTCCCAAAATGCTGGGATTACAGGCGTGAACCACTGCGCCCGGCCGGTATTAGGAACTTTTTAAATCTCCCTTGGTATTTCGATGTGTAGTCCTGGTTGAGAACCTCAGGTATAAACAACCCCCAGGCCTCATTGAGGCTGTCTTGGAAACACGTGAGAAGCACATTCCTCCTTATCATCCCTCACTGCTGTGGCTTTCTTCAGGCCTGGGTCATTATCACATAAATCACCACAGTATCCTCCTAACTCATTTCTCTCCTCCAGGGTACACTCCACACAGCTTCCAAAGTGAGCTTTCTACAACGTCAAGTTTGATTTTGATAATTTAAAGGCCATCAATGTCTCTCTCTTCCAAATTATCACTGGAAAGCACATGAGGCTCTGTGCACGCTGCTCTCCAGCTATTCCAGATGAGACGCTTGGTCGCGGGGTCAACTCACCACACCCTGTGGAGGCCCCAAGCTTTGTGCATGACATTTCCACTGCCTGGCACAACTATCTCCCCGACCCTTCCCTCTTACCCCATGAGTTTTTTTTTCCTCATTTGTGCATATATATGCCTTTTGTTATCTTAGAAGTAATGGTTAAATGGTAAAATGATATCAACAGACATTTGGGGAATACCCACTAGGAGCAAATATCCTCTAGCTCTGCTATCCACAGGGTCTGGCTGCACTTTCATCTTCATATCTTAGACTTATAACTACTGGTAATCATGATGGTGAAATGCTTTAGAGATTACAAAGTGCTCATTTGATCATCAAAACCACCTTTTAAGAGACTAAATGAATAGATGTTCAAGGCTTCTTAAAATTGAATATTGTATATAATATATCAAATATATAGTCAACATATAATAGGAAGTATGTTGGGGAAGGAGAAAAACTGTGAGGGGTATCCTCAGGAATATTGATGAGTGTCCTTCAATAGTTAAAGATGTATGAAGCAGAGTTACAGTTTTAAACAGTACAGCTGATATGCACACAAAATTAGTTGATTTCTTGATGCTTGATCTAATATTTTTTATGAGCCCCACTCAGTATTTTGTTTATCAAAGGCAGAATATCCTCTCTTTGTACTCCTGCTATAATAATCCTAATGCTATCCGCAGCAAATGGATGTGTTTTGTAGAATAGGTGGAAGGTCTTATCTACAGATAGGCAACAGAAGAGTATTAATATAGTTCCAAAATATTAACCCTTTACATTTATAAACAAAGTACAACAGTTCAGAACAGTGTTATGCAAAATCATCATAAAAAATCATAAGTGGCTTCCAGGGCCGAGCCTTGACAGAGGTGTTAAAACACCAACAGGGAATGTGTAAATCAAAAGGAAATTGGTGAGTAATGGAAGCCCAGGCAGTCAATGAAGGCATCATAAAATCTGACTTGGCAGGGCTGGGTAAGCTCTGCCTGAGGAAAGAGTAATGTAGGCTGATGACACTCAACACTTGAATGACATCCTACTCCTAATTGTTGAGGATTAGCAAGCAACTTTCTGTTTACAACTTCGCTTCTTGTGTCTTTTATTCCTAGAAAGAGAAAACTGGTCATTCCAATATGACTACTGTAATCCACATAACAATCACAGCTCACCAAATAAATAACAAAACTGTCATGGTGTATATATCAGTCTCTTTCATATTGGTGAATAAATTCCCACCCCTGGGGAAAGGAAATCCTTGGTGAGTTAATCAAATGATGTCTTGTGCCTGTATGGCTGAGGGCCAGATGTGGGACTTGGGTGAATTTGCAAAGATAAAAACTGCTTTGTGAAGTACGTACCCTCTTCTGAGAATAAGACGTTTCTCTATCTTCCTTCCCTACAGCTAACTTGGAGTCATAAGTCAAATGATTAAATTCCATACCATTTTAGATGCCTAGTTAGATAATGCTCATTCCAATGAATTTATAATAAAACAAGAGACAGTCCCTAAATAACAAAATAGCAATGACAGATAACATGTGCTTCCCTCTTTCATTATCATAGGAATTCATATGTGGAAACATTCATACATTCCAAAGCCGAGAATAACACTGTGTTTATGGAGAAATTCATCTCCTTGGAAAGTATCGTTCTTATCTGGTTTGAAGACAAAAAAAGACATACCGTAGGCCCCTAACAACCACTAGTTCATTGTTGTAATATAATTGTTATGTAACAACTGGTTGCTCTGGTGAGAATTTATACCCAAGTAACTTTATGAAATTCATAGATTTGGGACAGAAAGATAACAAAAATAACAACCAAAGAAAGCAATGACTAGTATCCTCTTAAAACTTAATCTTTACAGTATCCCTGTGAGGAAGTCATCAAAGAGAATATGCCCAGTAGAGCCATCACAGAGGCCGACCCACTCAACTACATTAACTGGTGTCATGAGTTTCACACTCTAACACACATGTGCCCAGCCTTACCAAGAGTGGAGCCTGAATTCAACAGATCAACTGCCAAAGGGCTGGAAGAAGGGTTTTTCCTTCAAAACATCAAGATCTAATTTATGTATTGTACAATAGTAAATACATTTTACTAGTGAGAGTCCTCCCATATGTCATCAGTTTTAATTTTATTTCATTTTCAAAGTCTGAGTATTTACTTTTAATCGGGGTATCAATATCATTCATAATTTCAATTTCTCCCCTCCTGGCAAGTCAATGAAATGCATGAAGTTGTGAATAGTCCACATCATGGACTATGATTGCTGATTCATTCTTATCATGACAATCAAAGCACCGGAAATGAAACCGAAGAAATAAAAGCTGGTTTCTAGGAGATTCATTTAAATTGTTTAGTTGAGTTAAACATCGTGGGCAACCAAGTGGTTTATCCTTAACTTTTAAAGAGATTCAGAACAGTTACGTTTTCTCTAATCTGGCTTGGAAATGCGAGGGGTGGAGGGGTAGTCAGGAGGGGTGGCATTCACAGTAAAGAGCGGGGAGTCACTTGGTTAACTTTTCTTGTCACACTGCTGTGGGGCCAGCCTGTGTCTTACCAGAAATTCTGAGTGCCTCTTCCTACGATTAAGTGAACATTTAATGACTGACTCTTAAAGAACTTTTACCAACCAAAAGACTGATTTGAAAATAGAAACTATACATTATTTTAAACAATTGAGATGTTAAGTTTAATAATGTTAATAGATGAATGCAATGTTAATCAAAAGCTGAACCTGTGGGCTTTCCAACAAAGAAATGTTAAACAAATAACAATACACTGGAGTTATTTGTTTTAACTTTTAATTTTTTGTTTTCTTAAAAGAATAAGAAAATGTTAAAAGCAGTTTGGAGTGATGAAAATGTATAATAATACCAAAAATAATTCACTCAGGATGACAAGTGGTGCCTACTCATAGATCAAATGTGTGAGTGGCCCACAGAAAACTTAAGCTTCCGATAGGCATCTATTTTTCATTTGAAAATAAAGGTTAAAATTGCAGGCGTATTTGGGGAGAAAATAACGCTGGCAGCTATAAAATGTTATTAAATAATTTATATCAAGGCTATTCCAACACTGGTAGGTGGATTTACAATCTTTTAAAACCACTAGAATTTGGGAATTTGAAAGCAAAAAATGAACAAACGAGGAAAAATAATCTTCTGGTGTCTAAAATATGATCTGGCAGTTTGTAATGAGTTCATGTTCCAAGCAAAGCATCAGCCAGCTTGAAATGTCAATCAATATTTTATGATGTTGTCATTATTTTTCACAGGGGCCCAAGAAACCCTGCTGACCCAGGTGTGGATTAATTACATCTAGTCAGCTTCAACAGCTTCCTTAACTGTCATCCTTTCCTTTTGCCTCTTTCCTGTTACACCTGCAACTTTTAGTTCGCCTCTCAATTTAGACTTATGCCCTTCACACGTTATATTTGCTCTTCAAAGAGAGGTCCCAACCTATTGCTTCAGATGTCTTGACATGTACACCTACCTGGATATTTATGGATACCACATGCTTATATTATTTCCAGAAGTATCTATAGGCTTTTTTATGTGTAATATTTAATAAAGGAATTTTCAGAGTAAGTTCTATTAAAAAGATAAAAGCTAAATTTAATTAAGTAATTCCAAACATAAGGGAACTAAGAACAACTCTGACAAGAGGTCAGGAAAACACAGTAAGAATATCAGATTGAAGGCTCCCCATCCACTTATTCATTAGCTTTTCTAACTGAATCTTTAATGGGAGGGCCCTCCTTTAGAGGTCAGAAGGAATTTGGTCCTCACTGTCTTCTGCCCTGTCATTTCATCTCAGACCAGGTTCCACTTAACCATGTTTATTCCAATATCAAGAACAGGCATTGAACTAAAAAATGTATAACTGAATGCGCAATGGCACTCTTGTAGTATAATCCGTACTCTTAAGCATTTTGTCAAAACAGGTACAATATATGAAAAACTTGAAGGGACACTCACCTGCCTCACAATTTTCAGTCACGAGCCCTTTATACAGGTGGTGGCTGAAGGAAATCTTTACATCTTCTCCTTCCATGTGAATGACCAAGAGACCCGTGGTTGTCCTGGCTGGAATGCCCTGGTCTGTAACTTTTAACTGCAGCCAGATAGGGAAGTATTCTGAAGATGGATTTTGCTGAAATTGAATTTCTCCTGTGTATTTATCAATAGAAAACATTGACTGGGTCTCTGCAAAACTAAAAACCACAGTTCCATTGGGCCCCAAGTCCAGGTCATCAGCTCTCACAATGACAGTTGTCTGGTTTGTAGGCGACTCGGGGGAAAGAAACACATCAAAAGGGTTCTGTTCCAAAACTGGATCATTGTCATTAACATCAGTGACATATACTTTTATAATTACAGTGGTGCTTCGTGAACCCTGGATGCTACAGTCTCTGGCCACAGCACTAAATGTATGCTGAGATCTGGCTTCACGGTCGAGGGTGTTGCTGGTTTTCAATGTGCCTGACATAGGATCAATGGTGAATGCACCAGAAGCCTCATCAGTCAGAAAATACTCAGTTTGCCCATTCAGGCCTTCATCCTTGTCCACAGCTGAAAGCACAAGAACCACTGTTCCCACTTCAGCATCTTCTCTCACAGAGGACTGGTAATAAAGTGTGGGAAAAGAAGGACTGTGGTCATTGGCATCCAAAACTCTAACTTGCAGGTGTATTACAGAGCTCCTAGGTGGATCTCCCAGGTCAGAGCACAGAATGACAAGGGTAAAATTGCTGATTTGCTCCCGGTCCAAAGCACGAGTGGTTGAGAGTTCTCCTGACATCTCATTTATAGTAAAGCACTCATCAGTATTTCCATCTATTAAAGAAAACAATTACAAATTCATTTGAATTGAAAAAGTAGCAGCTCTTTGCTAGCACTATCTATGGTATTCATTTATACATTCATTAAAAATATATTTATTCCCGATTATATTGTATCCTAGCACTTTTGTAAATATTGGGGATATAACAGTAAGCATGATAAAGGCTCTGCCCTCATGAAACTTCTATTGAGGGGATAAACAGAATAATATGATTCAATGCCTATCTTTAATCAGTCAATAATTAGAACACTTGCTTTCACTAATTTGCAGCCGTATGATTTTTTGTGTGCATCTACAACTTTTAATTTTAATATATTTTTCCTCATAAGAGGATGAAGATATATGTTTTATTTAACACAAAACAATAGATGAGGATAAAAAAAACAGAATATAATGTCCTTTTTTAAGATATCAATCAGAAATGAACAGATTTGATTTGTAGTTATTTTCTCAAATAGTACCCACTACAGTATTCATGCCTGTTATACTATTGCAGTAAGCCTTCTCTTCTACATGTCCACAGCATTTTGTACAAGAATCATAACACTTTGGTTAGAGTTAGTTGGACACTTGACTATTTCTTCCAAAACATAAATAAGGACATTGTTCTATTCATCTATTCCTTAAAAAAAATCTGCCCTTTATTATATTCCATCGTATCAAGTAGAATAAAACTTAAAATTGAACACAGGGACAAAAAGCTTTCAAAGACATTTTTAAATAACCCTGAAAATTAGTGAAGAAAAATGTGGTTCATATGCTTGCCAGCCATATTCTTGGATGAAGAGCAGGCCCAATAGTGTGGGAACTTACTAGAGTCTGCATATCAGAGGCATATGAGGACCAAGTGGAATGGCATTCAAAGGAAACAACAGCAATAGGTAGCTTTAGGGAGGAGGAGAGGGCCCTGCATTTGTATTCATGAGGAACAGTTAATTTACACCAAAAGTAGAGATGATTGGACAAACCCACATTTCTGTAGTATTTGTGGCTGATAAAGTGATTCAGTCATTCAGCAAACATTTGATGAGCATCTACTATGTGCCAAGTTTGTGCTCAAGATCACAGATATGAAGGGAGTAAGACATGACCTAGCTCCAAGAGTTCACAGTCTAAAAGGAAAGGCTGGTCAATACTCGGGTATTAAAGTACCATGTGAAAATCATATGTACAGAGTGCTAAATGAGTACATATAGATAGTGCTAGCCAAGGGGTGCTATTTCTCTGAGAAGTACAGAGAAAGGGCACATAGTCCTATGTTAGTAAGTTCAAGAAATGCTTATTGGAAAAAGTGACATCAAATCTCACTCCTAAAGTGGAGAAAGCCATACTACAAGTTTTGGGGAGAGTGTTCTATGCAGAGGAAAGAGCCCGTGGGAAGTTCTAGGAATATAAGAATTAACAGGCTGCAAATGTTTGGGTGTGACTAGTACACAGGGTTCCTGGGTGTTTGTATGTGGCAAGTAGGAAAAGGGCTGGCAGTAGCGGTAGAGGAAAGACATGAATTTGGGAGGTAAGCAGGGGGTCAAATTGTGAAGGGCTCTCTGTATACTGCTGAAGATTCTATAGTTTCTCCTGAAATCCATGAGGGAGCCCCCTGAAGGATTTTGGACAGGAAAGTGTCATGAATCAAATTTCTATTTTAAGAATAGTATCGAGGCAGCAATGTCAAAGTTTGTTTAGAAAATAGGATGGTTCCTGTAATCCCAGAACTTTTGGAGACCAAGGCGGGAGGATTGCTTGAGTCCAGGAATTTGAGTCCAGCCTGGGCAACATAGTGAGACCTCATCTCTACAAAAAAAAAAAAAAAAAAGTTTTTAAGTTATTCAGGCATGGTGACATGTGCCTGTATTCCCCGCTGCTCAGGAGGCTGGGGTGGGAGAATTGCTTGAGCCTGACAGGGGGTACAGGCTGCAGTGAGCTGTGATTGTGCTGCTGCGGTGAGCTGTGAATGCACCACTGCACAGCCTTGGTGACAGATCGAGAGCCTGTCTTTAAAAAAAAAGAAAAGAAAATGAAAATGGGAAGGTTAGGAGTCATAGTAATCTACTTGCGCAACAAGGGGTATCTGAAACAATATTTGCGTGCAGGAAGTGAACACATTGCAAAGATATTAAGGAGAAAAAATAAGTTATGGAGAAAGGATTCATGATCCGGCTTAGGCGAATAAGTGAAGGGTGTTTAGACCAGTCAATCATCTTTAAAATGAGGGCTGAGTACAGCTAGGTTACTTGAAGTTTTCTAAGGAATTCACTTGGAAACAGGTAGTTCTGTGGTAATCTCCAGAAGTTCAATTTAAATATCCTTATTCCTAAAATTGCTCTACCTGAGAGCTCACCTGGGATCATGGAATTTATCTTTCCCACATTCACCTTTATAAGCACTCTTCTTGCAAATTAAAAAAGAAAGTCTCCCTCTCACCCAAATAAATGGCTGCCAAATAAAGTGGTCATTCCCAATGTTGAAAGTTCAATGTCAAAACAGTGACTGATTTTAATGCCTGGGAAGATATCCTTATGCAGTGGGAGAGTGTCTCTGCTATCAACCAAATTATAGAGCCTATTCAAGTTTTCAAGTGGTAGATAAAGAAAAAATAAAGACTATTCATTAACTTTTTGGCATATAACTCAGAAGGCATACAAGTACTAAATTAACTTCTGTAACAATACTTCCATTTTTAAAAAGGTGAGCAAGGATTTTCAGTTCTTACATCTGTAACAAAGAGAAACAGCAACAGACTTGGCACTGTGCTTTGCCTTTTGCCTTATTTTTATTTATTTATTTATTTATTTTTATTTTTATTTTTTGAGACAGAGTTTCGTTCTTGTTGCCCAGGCTGGAGTGCAATGGCGCAATCTCAGCTCACCTCAACCTCTGCCTACCGGGTTCAAGCGATTCTCCTGCCTCAGCCTCCCGAGTAGCTGGGATTACAGGCATGTGCCACTGGCTAATTTTGTATTTTTAGTAGAGACGAGGTTTCTCCATGTTGGTCAGGCTGGTCTCAAATTAACTCCAGACCTCAGGTGATCTGCCCACCTTGGCATCCCAAAGTGGTGGGATTACAGGCGTGAGCCACTGCACCCAGCTGCTTTGCCTTATTTTAGCAAAAAGGAACATGCATTCCGAGAATCATGAACTCACTGGAAAAAAGGAACCCATTAATCTGATTCAGAGATGCATTTACAACACAATTTTACTTTTTATGTTATTATTGGTCAAAATTGGAATACACTTTTGCTATTTTAATCTTACAATCATAATAATAACAATCTAATATAATTTTCAAAACTGAGACCTTATGTTCATTGGAAATTTTTAGAAGTCTTAAATTTATCCACATATTTTAATTGTAGAAAAGTATAATAAAATGATCAATATTTTAAGCATAAAAGTCCATTACGTTATGGTAAAATTCTGCAAGGATGTAGAAAGGTAATATTGATTGAAGAAGTAAAAATGCAAAACATATAACTGAAAATGCTCATTCATACATATAATTGAAAAAAACTTAAGTAAAATTCTACATTTTTATTAACTTAAAAAAATCATATTTCAAACAGTAGAGTCTGTGAGCTATGAAAATTTACAATTCACTTGGCATTCCCAGCGCCTTGCGCTCCCTGTGACTGCGCTGTGCAGGCGTCTTGGTTTGTGCAGGGTGGTTCTCATCCTTGCCAGCATCCCCTTCCCCTTTCTCCCCTTACACACCTCACTCCCTTCTTTGCCGAGTTGTGGGGGCTGTTTTAGGCCTGGCTTTTGTTTTTGGAAGGGCAGGTTTAGCAGACAACCCTGCCTATCTCCTGTGTGGCTCCTCTATCACCTTTGCTGTGTCACCTTTTTAGCCGATTTCCTGGGCATGGTGGCTTGGCAGGCAGCTTTGCCAATCCAAGGTATGCTCTCTGCTCCTGGAAAGATTTCTGAGTCCCACAGCCATCCGAGGGCTACGGAGCTCCCAGTTTCCAACCTGGCTGAGAAGGTGGCCTCAGCTTGGGCAGAACAGGTGGAGACTTTGGGACCATGAAGAGACATGCAGAGCCAGGAAAGAGGAAGGTGACACAAGGGGAGGATGCCTTTCATATATATATACTTATATATATTTCATATATATATACTTATATATATACACACATATATGAAATATATATACGTGTATATATACACACATATGAAATATATATACGTGTATATATACACACATATATATGAAATAGATATACGTATACACACACACACACACACACACACACACACACCCACACACACACATATTTTTTTTTTTTTTTGAGACAAAGTCTCACTCTTTTCCCCCAGGAGGGAGTGCAATGGCACAATCTCAGCTCACTGCAACCTCTGCCTCCTAAGTTCAAGTGATTCTCCTGCCTCAGTCTCCCAAGTAGCTGGGATTACAGGTGCCTGCCACCACACCCAGCTAATTTTTGTATTTTTAGTAGAGGTGGGGTTTCACCATGTTGGCCAGGCTGGTCTCGAACTCCTGACCTCAGGTGATCCGCCCACGTTGGCCTCCCAAAGTGCTGGGATGACAGCCATGACCCACCGTACCTGGACACCTTTCATATATTTTTAAGGTTTTTTTATTCTATCAAATACTTTTAAAAGGTGATTGATATAACAGTCTTATTTTAATGTGTCAATATTTAGGATATGCTGGGAAACACACCTTTGTTACTCTTTAAAAAAAGTTTAGTTGACAACATAAAAATATGTCTGCGTACATAAGTTTTCAAGATTATTTTAAGGGTAAGTGAAGCAAAAAAAAAAAAAAAAAAAAGCTGAAGATCACTGGCAGAGACTAGCAGAAGGACCCAGACCATGATGGGGGAGGTAGAAAGGGGGTGAGGCTGATGTGTCATTTTGGACACACTGATAATGCAATGCTGTTGGATATAAAGACTGGGTCCTTGGGGCTGTTAGGAAATTGTGAAATAATTTGAAATAGGAGGAACAAGGTTAGTAGGTGTCCTGGTATTGAAGAAAGAAGGGTGGGGCACAGGTGTCCAGTGTGTCTTTGCCATCAGAATGTTCTTCCACCTTCACCGCATTTTGACCACTCTGTAAATTGTTGAAAACTGATAATAATGTAAATGATTCTTATCCACAGAAATGCAAGTAAATCTGGTGAAATGCACTGATTGTTGTCTTGCAAATACACCTTTTCTGCATTTCAGAATTCCTTATTCCCTTTGTGTGTGTATGTGCCTGTGTATGGCTCTTGGAATTCTCCTTGAACCCATTTTAACATCTTTTTGGTTTACTTATTCATTAGTGAATTAAATAAAAGTTATTCGCAGGTACCATTTTTATATTTGTATGAGAGTTATTACTTTACTTTTAAAAACAATATCCTTTAACGGGACCTAGATCTAGGATGCAGATGGAGATGGGAGCCATTGGCATCCCAGTGGTAGCTAAAGACAGAGACTGGATGAAATGACCCAGTAAGAATCTGTCTATGAGACAAGAAAAATTAAAAAAAATTAAAACTGATCACATGAAAGCAACAAAAATAGAAAAACACTATCTTTTCCATCCTTACATCCACTAATGTTAGCATAGAAAAAAATTCACAGCAGTTTGCAAAGGCAGATTTTTAAAGAATGTGGAGAGCAGTGGTTCAAGGTGGCTGTGAGAAGGAGGTAGAGAGAAAGCTCATGGCACCAGTCAGTTCTGACTGGGTGTGTATTTTGTAGAGAAAAGCAACAGGTATCAAACACAGAGTAATCAACAGAGAGTGTGTGTCAACTCAGTCAGCATCCTGGAATAAATTTTAATTTAAAAATACTTACCAATTTGGGAGGCTGAGGCACAAGAATTGCTTGAACCTGGGAGGTGAAGTTGCAGTGAGCCATCGCGCCACTGCACTCCAGCCTGGGTGACAGAGTGAGACTCTGTCTTAAAAAAACAAACAAACAAACAAACAAACAAACAAACTTACCAATTATGTGATATTCAACAGCTCTGTTATTGCCAGCATCCATATCAGAGGCTAAAACCGTATAGACAACCTCTGGTTCCTGGTTTTCCAGAACCTCAATGTCATAACTGGAAACAATAAACTCTGGTGCGTGATCGTTTTCATCTTCAACAGTGCAGAGGATTGTTGTGGTGCTGGACAATGAAGGGAATCCCCCATCTCGTACTAGTACTGACACAGAACACAAAGACGGTATGAATTGTGGCCTTTGATTCATACCTAAAATATGTTGTTCTAACTAGACAATGTCAGGCTAACCAGGTAGCACTGGCTCAATAATATTTTATTTAAAAACACCCCAACAAAATATAACATTTCACCACTTAACAGGTTTTTTTTAAATTTAATTTTTAATTTTTATTTTTTAGCCTACTCAAAGAATCCCTTACCTCGAAGGGTGAAGACTTCTTGAATTTCTCTGTCAAGTATGGTGGTTGTCACTACCTCTCCAGTGTCAGAATTTATCTCGAATAATTCAAATGAAGCACCTGGCATGATTTCAAACTGAAGCTTGGAATTGACTCCTTAAGAAAAATATAAAGAAAAACTTAGCAATCATTTCTTTGAAATACATTTATCCACTTTCCTATTTCTTTTCCTTTGAACATGTTAGGCCATAGATGAAAATGGCAAGATTCTCAAACAGCCTTTAAATTAAGGTAAAAGAAAACCTCTTTTGGCTGTTCTTGCTAAAATAAAAGCCTCATGGGCTGAAATGCTTGATTTTCAAAAGTCTTATGAGACTTCCCCACAGTGAATGCTTAGAATTTTTTCCTTCCCATAAAAAATTTCTTATGAGTGTGCAACTCTACAACATATTCCTAATTACTCCTTCTAACACCTCTGATTGTGATTTAATGACTTAATTGTAAGCTTGCAGGGCAAATGACAATTTCTGTAGATTGACCTGCTGTTTAAAAGCCCGTGCTAAGTTATAGAACTCTGTTTATTCTCAACCTCAAGAAGCGAGCACCTAGAATTGCTTATACACGTATTTCTGTTTGTTTTGTTTTCGACTTAGTGTTCAGTCTGCTATCTGGAGTGAGAAATGTGGTACCACATTATTATGCATTTTGGAAATAATTCTTCCCATATTTTTGTGGTTTCATTTCTCCCCTGAGAAAAGTATCACGTCATTTCCATCTCTGGTTATGAAGATCATTCATACTACTAATTTTAATGAGTCTGTCCCATGCCATTGTAATTTATTGCATTTTACACAAGTTCCTCTCAGTTATTTTCCTATGTTCCTTTCTTAACTGACAAGAATCTAGGTGTACACACAGTACTGAGAATATATGATGTTATACTTTAATAAAAGACGAAATGTCATTCTTTTGGCCTTAACAAAAAATCTTCAATTACAAATTTCCATCTTGCCAGTCTTAAAAAGTAAATTTTCATTACATTATGATCTGGCAGATATTATATAGGACTGAGAGCTGAAAGGAGTGAAATAGAATTCTAGTTTTATATAAGAATGAAAATACATATCATATTACTATATAACTTGGAGGAGAAATATATTTGAGATATAATCTGCAGGCATTGGAATGACCCTGAGAAAAAAAGTCTAATAACATAGGACCAATGTATTTGATATGACATGGTCAGAGGTCACCAAAATGTTTCATTCTATTATTAGGCATTACGTATATTATTAATGATATTACTAAAGAGTCATAGTGATTATTTCAGTAACTTAAGGATCATATAATCTATTCTATAGCAAGACAGAATTTCTTAAAGTTCCAGGTTGTTAAAATTTGTTATTCCTATCTCTGCCTACATTATAAAAATGGGAACAATATTATCTTATATTTACTTTCCTTTTCCTCAAAAAAAAGAGAGAAATATCAGGTGCCAAGCATAGTACTATGTGCCAAAGACAGAGTGCTGAGTCAGATATGACCTCTGTCTTCAAAAAGATTACATGGATCTTTTAAATGAATGAGCTCATTTATATGATTTTGTTACACATTATATATACACCATTTCATATTATTTTATATGATTTTCTTACACATTATATATACCATTGCATATTATGTATTGTATTACATATTATAGAATGCTATATATTATACATTTTTAATTCTCACCACTTGCCAAACCTAGAAAATGTCTTCAATTGTTTACACATAAATTCAGATCTTTCTGCTGTCCCTTCCCATTATCCTCTAATGTGCTTCACCACTCTACTCAATATTTCTCTGACTTTTTAGAAACTTCCAGATTTTATTTTGTTCTATTATTCTATACAGGTTTTTTATCCCTAAGATAACAATACATTAACCTTCAACCCTCCTAGTATATTATTAAGGATAAATAAGATCTTTACCTATAACTGTAGTCTGCATACACACATTTTTCATACCCCAAACTTCATACCCTTTACAAATTAGGAAGTAAATTAAATGTATTTTACTATGGCTTATTTGGAATTTAACTAGTGCCTTGCACCTTACACCCTTACACCCTTATAATCCTACAGAACAAACATAGCATCATCAAACTTGAGAATTAAGAAAATAAAAATTAAAAAGAGGTTATTTGGCCTCATTCTATCACCTCACTGAGCAAATTGGAAATTTGGATCTGAAGATATTTAGTGATATCCTTATGACACATGCCCACTAAAAGATATGTGTGTGTGTGTGCCTGTGTATATATGCCCATACCTATGTGTGTATGCACACCAGTGTGAATACACACATACACAGATGTGCGCGCGCACACACACACACACACACACACATATCTACCTTCTCTTAGACTTCAAGACCTGCAGTCCCATGACTTCTTAATCCTCCGGCTCTAGGATACCTCTCCTCAATTCATTTCTCTCCTTCTCCAGTCCGGCCCCATGAGCTATTCCTCTAGCAACCTTGCATAGTTTCTCAGGTCCTGGGGCTTTCTGCCAAAGATTTCCAGCAAAGCTTCAGCCTGGGATCATTCCAACCATCTCTTTACTCCATTTGAATATCCAACAGATGGCTGGGGCTACAGAAAATTTCACAACAGCATGGATTGAGACAACTGCAGTGCTGTTGTATCTGGCAATCTTTCCAGGTGTCCATAATCACCCCTCTTCCATTCAGGTCTCCTACCCGACCACTACCTGGCTTACTCTCACAGATCACTTCCCTTTCCATTTCCCAGAGAGAAAGGAGGCATTGGGAAAGAACTCCCTCACCCTCTGCACCTGTACTCAACTGTACCCCTTACTCCCTGTCTCAATGGCAAAAGTCATTCTTCAAACACACTCTCAGAATTTTCCTGTCAGGTCTAGTCTTTCTCCTAAAATTTTTTTCCTTAAATTATATCCTTCTCTAGCTATAAGAAGAATTAGGCTTTTATCTCCTCCTCTTTGTGGCCAAATTTCTTTTGAAAATCATATTCAGTCTGCAGCTAGCTTCAAACCATGCCATTGCCAGTTACTCTTTCTACAGTGACCAATGACCTTCTGATTATAAAGTCTACTGGCCATTTCTAGTTCTTACCTAACTTGTCTTCTCTGTGGCATCATATATGGCTGACCAATTTAAAAAAAAAAAACAAAAAACAAAGAAACAAAAGAAGGGAGGGGAGGAAGGCATGAGGAAGAGAGAAGTAAAAAATAAAAGAAAAATAATATTTTTGTCTGTTTCTCTATGACATATTTTTCTCCTGGTTCCAGGAGTGGGGTGCATTGACAATCAATGTGCTGGCCATCACGCCATTGTCATCTCACTCTATACATTCATGTCTTCAGTTTGCATCCATATCTATTTGGTTGGTTCATTCATTTATTCATTCATGTGTTCATTTATGAATGCACAGATACTGAATGTCAGGTACTGGAAAGGCACCACTGAATAGTTACCTTGGACCTCAGAGTTTCTCTCTAGAGTGGAAGATGATTAAATCAACGAGTAATGGAAAGTGTGATGGAATATATGAAATCACTGAGGGAGTGGATCATAGAAGACTTATCTCAGGTATATAGTTTGTCATTAATTATCTCATTGTATTAACATATATAAAGAGTGATCTTAGGTGCCAAGATACCATACCATGTGCTAAAAATATAACTGCTAGTAAACAGACAAATTCTCTACCCTCATGGTGCTTACAATATAGCACCGGATACAGATAAGCAAGCTCGCAGTGACAATTCCCCCTGAATAGACATGATGGGTAAGTTGAGTTGCCTTGATATAACCGGAAACCCTAAAGATGAATAGGAGTTAATGGGTAAGAGGGAAGAAAGAACATTTGAATGAGTTCAAAAGAAAATCTAAATACCTTACCACAGTCCACAAAGTCCCATATGATGTGGGCTCTGCATATCTTTCCAACCTCTTTTCATGGACTTGCTCCCTTGCTATATTCTTATCGCACTGGCTTCCTTTCTGTTCTCTGAACATACTAAGCATCTTTCTGCTGAGGCCTTTGTAGTGGTTGTTCCCTCTGCCTGCTCTTTTCAGTTCTTCACATGGTGTATTATTTATTAAACCATAGTGTCTCAGATCCAAATCTGTTCTTCTGTACTCCACCCTGTGATGCTGGGTCTGGGGATCTGCAAACTACATTCCCCATTGCCAACTACCTCTCTCCTAGGGTTTGCCACAAAAGGACACTAGAAGGAGACCAAAAGTCAGAAGGACAGAAAATGGGACTTCCTTCTTCCTAGTTACCTACTGTCGTCATCAGCAATGCTATTCAGTCTGTTTTGCTACTCCTTTGCAAGGCCCCCTCTCTCATTTCCTTCCCAGGGTCTGATAATCCAAACATCTTCTTCTTTCCCAGTATTAGGGGTGGTAGCTGCCTTCTAGAGCTTTGTTTTTGTCTTTTTGGTTACTTCAGTATTCCCTTCTTGCTTACTCATTCATCCAACACCTGTTTGTAGCATCTATTCTTCCTGACTAAACATGGCTGATAGAGCACTTGGCACCAGAATTGGGTCTCAGGTAACAGGGACTCTGAGATTGGTTTGGTTATGTCTTAGGCTTTGAATGCAGCTATGAGTTCCTTAACCATGGGAAATGGAATGCTAGGAATTCAATACTTGGAGTGCTGTCACGATTAATTAAATTATCAATCATGTTTGACTGTGATAAAGTGACTATTAAAGGACTCAAATTCCTTAGAGAACCAAATGGCGCTGACTTTGACCACATAATAGTAAAAAGGACTATGATGCAGAAGACTGTTTTTCAAAGGACTAGGAAATTATAGAACGATAACTATGAGCTGAGGCTTTAAACCTGTAACTCAAGTCATGGTTAGAAAGCTGGAAAGCTCCTATATAGAAGGCCTAAAATTAACCTCCCTGAAGATCAGACCCAAATTGAGTGGCAGGTATAATAAATACCTTGTAAGGAGATGACTATTCATGTAAATACCCATAACCAGAGTCAGATTTCAACATAACTCAGGTAGCCAAGTGCAAATCTGACTCAGTCAAAGAAGCTTATAGTTTCAAAGAATAATAATATTTTCTAAGTTATATTGGCATAAACCTGGGGAATATGTGTGGAAATCAGTTCTAAGAATGTGAGACCTAGGAAGATATAACATTGGTTTAGGCTGGATTTATTGATAGATAAATAGACAATATTGATACTGTTTGCTAGAGAGTCAGAATTTAATGTGTTAGCCCATAGAGCTGTGTCTCTTGAGAGTTTCTTTGATTGGTTGGATTCAATGGGAGCCTATAATCACTGAGGTTGAGACATTAGGTCTTCTTTTGAATACTATAAATAATCCAAAGCTTAAGGAAATGAGAATGTTAGAGTGAACTTATCATGTATGACATGCTCACCAAACACTCCCACTACCTTTCCCAAGAGATCAGAGGACCCTACCTTCATAAGTACACTGGGAAAGATATTAGAAGGCCATCAGCATCCTTGAAAAGCAGAATGGGTGCTGTTTTCTGTAGACTGGGGATGGATCATGGTGCCAATGGTCCCAGGGACCACCTTTTGAGAAGCAACATTTGATACTAATTTATAAGAACTATCAGAACTCATTGGCTTTCACCCATCTTTATGCAAACTCTCCCACTGTTGACATCATCTAGTTGGTAGAGATATTATGATGACATCATGATAATTGGATCTGATGAGCAGAAAGTAGCAAGTAACTTAGATGTCTTAATTAGACACATGCATTAGACTAGGGATTGGCAAACTACAGTCCAGTGATCAAATCTGGCCTGCTCCCTGTTTTTGTAAAGTTTTATTGAAATACACACAATATTAACTATGGCTGCTGTCTTGCTATAGTGTCAGAGTTGCACAAAGGAGACCGTAAAGCACACAAAGCCTAAAATATTTACTATCTGGTCCTTTAAAGGAAAAAGTTTTCCAGAATTCTATCCTAGAGTAAAAGGTGGGAGAGTGCTAGGAGCTGAGAACAGACAGGAAAGCTGATTGTTAAGCTAAAAGGGATAAAATTTTATCCTCCTCTTCCTCAAACTATGGGGATTTAATAAAGAATTCTTTCCAGGGGTGTGTTATTTTTAGGAAGATCATTTTTCTTTTCTTTTCTTTTTTTAAGACAGCATCTCACTCTGCCACCCAGGCTGGAGTGTGCAGAGGCACAGTCGTGGCTCACGGCAGCAAATTCCTGGGCTCAAGCCATCCTTCTACTTCAGCTTCCTGAGTAGCTGAGACTACAGGAGCATGCCACCATACCCAACAAATTTTTATATTTTTTTTTGTAAAGGTGAGGTCTTGCTATGTTGCCCAAGCTGGTCTTGAACTCCTGGCTTCAAGCAATCCTCCCACCTCGGCCTTCCAAAGCACTAGTATTACAGGCATGAGCCACCGTGCCCAGCCAAGATTCTTGTTTGTATAATGCCTCGACTGTACAATGTCCTCACAATCAGGCATTTCTAAAGCAAAAATAGAATTATGCCTGGTTGATTGAATAAAGGAATAAATAATAAATAAATTCTAAACAGTGAGGGCAGCTTGAGGAAGCTTATGTCATACATGCTTCAGTTTCTCAGACCATATGGTCAAAAATATTTATTGAGTTCCTATGTCATATCTTGCACTACTCTAAGAACCTGGAATAAATGTATTAATAGATAAAAAGTGCTGAATCCAGGAGAAGTTCACAGCCTAGAGAAAAAGCAGGTGAATAAACATTTACACAATTATAATACTATATATTAAATGTATTAAGAATATATACCAAAGTTTTAACAGTGATTGTCTCTGAGTGAGTGAGGTTATGACTGGTCCTTATTCTTTTTCATCTCCTTATTTTTGATATTTATGCAAATATATTTATAATAGAATTTTTTAATATATATATAGAGAAAATTTATATAGAGAGAGCCAAGGAAAACATAACAGCACTAAGGGATTAGCAGAAATACTGCAGCCTAAGTAGGCGATGGCTTCAATTAGCATGCTGTTGTGACTTTCTCTAGCAAATGTTCCATAGCTTTGGATTGGGAAATTCAACTTTTGAAATGCTCTATAATCTAACCCGCCTTTAAATCCTTCTCTGGGACTTCAGTATAATCGAGGTTGCTGGAATGGCACAAAGCCAGTAAGATCGGCTTGTGCTTGAATCCTATGGATCTCCTTATGTGCCCCTGGATTAATTAGATTGAATCTAAAATGATGGACAAATGCCACTGGGGAAAGAATGACGGGGCACGTCAATGAATAACTACTAATAAAGTGCAGAGAGACCCAGCGCTGTGACTCACAACTGTAATCCCTATACTTTGGGAGGTGGAGGCTGGAGGATGGCTTGAAGCCAGGCATTTGAGGCTACAGTGAGCCATGATTGGGCCACTGCCCTCCAGCCTGGGGAACAGAGCGAGATTCCGTCTGTATAAAAATAAAACACAAATAAATAAAAATAAAGGATCAGGGATATGTTCTCTTTAAATGAAGTACGGAGGAAAGTTGATGGATATTTTGCCTGAGTATATGATACAGAGAAAATATCACTCCATAAAGAAACATTTAAAATAAACTGAATAGCCAGATAGTATTGTCCACTCGAATGAGAAATTGTTATTACAAAATGCCATAGATTCAGATATTTTAGCATCCTTATCCTTTATTCTTTGATATACACACAAATAAGTCACCTTCTAAAGGGTATACAGAATGGCACCTTATAACTTCCTATGAAGATAAAGCTATCAGCCCAGTGGAAGTATTCCAAAATTAGATGCATCTTACAATTAATGGTGTCTTAGATTTGATGAAATAAGGTGTTTCTCCCTGGCTCCAAGTGTAGACTTAGGCGGTGCAGTTGTACACCTAGTGCAGCACCAGGGATTCCAGAAAACCAGATGTAGTTTATTGAAGATGACCCCAGAAACAGAATACATTCTTATGGAATAGAGAATAACATCCACTAATGAATTCTATATTTCAGTGTGGCAATATACTGTTAAGTTATTTTACGTTTGACACCTTTGAGCGAATGTGAGTGGTATTCCCAGTGGGGCACCCTTTCCTCTTGGGAGTGGGGGAAGGGCACTGCAGGGGGAGCTCTTTTTTCACTAACAATGGCGCTCTTGTTGATGGCACCAAATGCTGCAGCAGTTTTAATACCTTAGTTAAAATCTGGTAGTTGTTTTTTCCTTTTGATACAAGAAGAAACTCCTGCTAGAGCTAATGTGAGTCATATACCATAAACATTCAGTGCTCAAATCCCTGTGGGCTTTGAATGCCAAATAACACTGTATACTTACATTTTTAAAAACTGCATCGTAGAATGCTAGAAAACACATGTTAAGCTCTCTAGTATTAAGGAACACTGTGGTATTTTTTTAAAAAAATACGTACTATAAAGTAAACCATTCATAAATTCCAGTGTAATGCCAGTTATGTTAAAATCTTGACTAAGTCATTTAATTCTCATGCATAATCCTGTTTCATTGTTTTAACCCAATAATCAAAAAAGAAAAAAAAAGATTGAGGGAAAATATATTCGAAAGTACGTGCATACACACAAATATTCACATGTGTTTACATAACCACCTACTTAACAGACCTGGCCTCATTAAAAACACTGAGATTTCCAGTAAATCAAAATTGTCTCCAAAATATGTAAGGTTACATGAGACTCATGAAGATGTTAATGTGTATTTCAATCATCCATTAATTCAGAAAAACAATAATTTTGTACCTAAATTCTCAGTTGGCATACCATAATCTCTAGAATAATAAAGTTTCAATTCAATTATAATTAGCAGGTTGCAGATAATTCATTCTAAATGAAAATAACATTAACACTGGGCAACTTGACAGTAAAAATCAGAAGAATATATTTATGGTAATTTTCTTTGGTTAATATATGCAAATTTTGAGAGAAATTCTTTTCTCCCTCTTCAAGCATTAAAGCAAGAGGAGCCTTTTTAGTAGAATCCATTACAAAAAAATAAAATTCATAAAATAAAGCAAGGCCAAAGGGAGGAAGCATTTTACATACCTTACTGTTTGCAAAATCACACAACATCAGCAATAAGTTCAGTATATGTCTATATACTTTGGGAAGTAGTTTTTGCATTGCTCAGCACCCTGTATTGCTCTGTTTCTACAGAGAACACTCTAAGAGAACTTTACTGAGCTAAAATTATTGTGAAACACAAAGCTTATGTATATTCTTCATTGTTTCTGACACCCTAAAAATGAATACTGCCAAAAACGTACTAAGTTCTAAGGACAGATTGGAGCAAACAATCGTTAGCATGCTTCGGACTCAACTCTTAGAAAAACTCTTTGATCACACTGCCCCACTCCGGTCAAAGACAGAAAATTGGGTTAGCCCTTGAAAAGAGTGTTAGTAACATCACATACAAATTCATGTAAAATGCATTTCATTAAAAGACAGTGTTTTCCAAGAGGGCAAAGTATTCAAATATTTTATAATTTACTTTAAAATTTCAAGTAAATGTATCTTTTGCCCCTTAAATTAACAATGTACAAGGAAATGCTATTATTAATACTATTTCCATAAAAATATCTATTACAATTCTTGCAAAAATATAACAAAATATTACATTGATATATAATGCCATTTGCTATATACAAACGTAAATTTTAAAAGACCGGATTATTAAGGTGAACTAACACGAATAGTTTATATTCATATAATATTCATATTTACATTAGTTCAGTGTTTCACATGTGAATGGGAATATAAACTATTCATATTAGTTCAGATGGAAAAATTCAGCATGTGCTGTGAATAAGAAACACAGCACTGTAATTTTTGTAATTATTTTGTTTAAGATAAAAACAGAATATGGTTAAAGTTGCTGAACCTTAGTTGCCAAAACAGCCACAGTGATGTTGAAAAGCAAGTCTAAGAAATTTATAAATTCCTAGCCATAGTAATTGTTTACTCCGAAGTCATTTGTCTGGACATAGTGTTTGAAAATAGTAAAAATAGTAACAAAGTTAACATATTGACCATTTATTGTGTCAGACACTGGTCTAAGCTCTTTACAAGTAATAATTCATTCATACTCATAACAAACTATAATTTAGGCTCTGTTATTATCTCCATATCACAGATAAGTAGGGAAATAGAAAGAATTAGTAACTTGTTCAAGGTCACATGGCATAAGTAAATGGTAGTTTTGGATTCAAATCTAGGCAGTCTGACACCAGCACCATGCCTCTTCCACTATGCTATATATACAGAGGAAATAAAGAACCATTTATCTTCTTCTTCTTCTCAATGTATCTAACTATTATACTCTGAAAGAAATGTGATGCTTTGTCCATACTTCGATTATCAAGATCAAATCAATAAAGTGTATGTTAATAAGGTGTGTATCACCCTAATATAAATAATAATAAAGTTAATACAAGCAAATCTTATGTGATATATCTGTATCTTTACAGGTGTATGTGTTTCTGTGTGGATGCAAATGAAAGAAGTATTACAAATTTGAGATAACTAGCAACTGTTCATTTTTTCTGAGCCATAACTATTATAAATTACGTCAATTATAATCTTCAATTTCTTTTAAGCATTAAATACCCAGTTTCTGTATTTCTAAATTACCTGAATCTCTGTCCAGAGCTTCAACCCTGGTAACAAACTCCCCTGGATTTTGGTTTTCTTTCACTGAGGCTTCATACAGGTGCTGCTTAAATACTGGAGCTTCATCATTTACATCAAGAACAGTAACTGTCAAAGTCTGGGATGAAGAAAGTGCTGGTGTGCCATCATCCAGTGCCAGAACAGTCAGAATATGCTGAGTTTTCATTTCATAATCCAAAGGACAGGTTGTGGTTAGTAAGCCTGTTTTGAAAATGGAAGAAAAGCAACATGTAATGAATATTCTTTAGAGAAGTCATGCTTACTCCACTTATATCTAACTTGTCTACCTAATAAAAATTCAGAAGTCTTAACTGCTAAAATATGAACTGCATTAAATCATCTTTAAATGTATACACTATCTACAATTAAAAGCAAACATTTTTAGTCAGAAAAGTCATCTCAATTTAAATTATATCAAACAAAACAATTCAAGAATAATCAATGTTATGCAATTATCTACTGAGAGGATTACATTAAAATTCTCTAGCCAACATCTACCTCCCTTTTAAAAAATATCTAGGATACTAACAATATATATCATCTTCATGTCACATAACACCTCATGTATAAAAGCGACCAAGTTACAAAAATGTGGGTATGGCTATATTCTTTAAGACGGTTGATTTTTGTTAAAGAATTATGCTCTCTTAATATTTATTCTCAGTTAACTGGATTTTTTTTAACAATAAAGAGCAGGCCAGGTGTAGTGGCTCAGGCTGGGTGTGGCGGCTTACACTTGTAATCCCAGCACTTTGGGAGGCCAAGGCAGGAGGATCACTTGAGGTTAGGTGTTCAAGACCAGCCTGGCCAACATGGTGAAACTCCATCTCCTCTAAAAACACAAAAAACTAGCCAGGCATGGTGGCGGGTGCCTGTAATCTCAGCTGCTCGGGAGGCTGAGGCAGGAGAATCACTGGAACCTGGGAGGCGGAAGCTGTAGTGAGCTGAGATCGTGCCACTGCACTCTAGCCTGGGCAACAGAGCAAGACTCCATCTCAATAAAAAAGAAAAAAAAGCAAAGATGTTATAACTCAGACAATACACTTCACAAGTAAAATGTGTCTCTATCCCACTGCCATTTAAGCATATAAACCACATAAGTCAGATGTAATACATACTGGCACACAGATAGCCATTATATGATTCCAATTATCACATTTTTCTTTTAGGATTGCTGTTTGCTTCTCCCTTTTATAAGAATTTTTCTTGAAATAATGAAAGAAGTTTACGGAATTCTATTTTATAAAATAATTTTTCAATAATTACTCATCACTTTATATTTCACAGCCATAGCCACAAAAAACTCACTGTCTTCTTTATAAGAAATATGAGTTTTGTGAGAGAAAAAAATCCCATCTCATATGAATGCATTTGGCAATTATCATTTTATGTCTTTGAAAAACATCTCCATTGAAACAGTCACTGCAATTACTCAAGAGATTCACATTACCTATATTACCAAAACACAAGTTTAATTTTATCCATTCTTTTTAACAATCTGAAATATACCTTTCTTAGCCATCTTGGAACACATTCCAAGTATTACTGAAACAGGTCCTTGGAGAGCCTCAGCTCTAACAGATATCAGCAGCCTGTGTCTGGACTATTTCTCTGTCAGTTGGGCATTTAGGTGGTGTCCATGCATGCCTCAGAATGAAACCACATGTACAAGATTTAATAAATATTTTGATGAAATTTTCCAACGGAATATAGCCAGACTATAATCATGACTTCCAAATCCTCCACATTTAACTCCATTCCAAATAATGCTTTTAACTAACAGTTGGGCCAAATGGTGTATATCTGAGATTTTTTTCATTCATGTAGAAATAACTTTATTTTTTAGTGAATAAGATGAGAGTTTATTAATTTTTCAATATTCCCTGAAAATCAGGTAGGAGGTTCATTTTTAAAGTCATAAGACTGAAAATTTGTACATTTACTCTTCCATCAAACTACATAAAAAACATATAATAGATGTTATCTAGCAACATGGTGACAGCAAGACAAGTAAAGTTGAGGGTGAGTGACATTTCTGCAGAGTACCTGACAGTGAATAAATGCTTCTTCAAAAAAAGAAATGTTACAATTGATGTGAAAAGCAGGGGTCTTAATGTCCAAATGAATTCAGCCATTAAAAATATATATTATTTCCAATATTTACGAATACATGTTTGTATAATCTCAAAGATAAATTTCCATACTAAAGTCTTTGAACAATGCTGTTGATTTGTCATACTGCTACCTGATTCACTATTGGTACCATATCCTACCCTGCAAGGACTCACAATGGGGGCAAAGAAGTTTTCTGTTGTGTATTCAGCCCATAGTGTCAGCTAGCTACAGAGCATAGTTAATATTAACAAACAGGACCATTAAAGTTAGTTCTCCAAATACAAACCCTGTGTCTATTTTATATATATATGCATACGTATATATACGTTATATAAGTATATACATATATACATATATAAGTTAAACAACAGAAGAAGTCAAAAATATTTAAAGCATATGTATCTTAAGAACCATCATTTTAAGAGAAAAAAAAGAAAAAGTTAAATATAAGCAAGCGATGAGAGGGTTTAATTGAAAGTGGCAGGAAGAGAAATGAAAGTCATCCAAATCAGAAAGAAAGAAGTAAAATTATCCCTGTTTGTAGATTACATGATCTTATATATAGAAAATCCTAAAGACTCCACCAAAAAACTGTTAGAACAAATAAATTCAGAAAAGGCAGGATACAAAAATCAGTTGCATTTCTATACACTAACAAGGAACTGTCTGAAAAGGAAATTAGAAAAACAATTCCATTGACAATAGCACAAAAAGGAATAAAAGAAAACAGGGATAAAGCTAGCTGAGGAGGTGAGTACCCTACATATTGAAAGCCACAAAACAATGATGAAAGAAATTAAAGAAGATACAAATGGAAAGACATGTATGTTCATAGAGTGAAAGGTCTAATATTATTAAAATGTTCATACTACCCAAACTGATCTACAGATTCAATGCAATCTCTACCAAAATCTCAGTGGCATTTGTTGTAGAAATAGAAAAAAATAATATCGCAATTCAAATGGAATCTCAAAGAACCCCAAAGAGTGAAAATAATCTTGAGAAAGAACAAAGCTGGAGGCATCACACTTCCTGGCTTTGATATATTACAAAGCTACCATAATCAAAACAGTATGGTATTGGCATAGGATAAACATTTAGGCCAATGGAACAGAGTAAAGAGCCCAGAAATAAATCCACCCATATATGGTCAATTGATCTTCAACAAGGTTTCCAATACTACACTTTCGAAAAAGGCTAATCTCTTCAACAAATGATGTGGGGAAACCAGATATCCACATGCAAAAGAATGAAGTTGTATCTTTATCTTACACTATACAAAAATAAAACAAAATAAAATGGATTAAAGACTTAAATGTAATACCTGAAACTATAAAGGTCCTACAAGGAAACACAGAGGGGAAAGCTTTGTGAAGTGGGTCTTGGCAATTATTTCATGGGTAGACAACAAAAACACAGATTACAAATCAAAAATAAACAGGCGGATTACATAAAATTAAGAAGCTTCTGCACAGCAAAGAAAAAGGCAACCTATAGAATGGGAGAAAGTATTTGTAAATCATCTATCTGATGAGGGGTTAATATCCAGAATATATATAAAAAAACTCCTACAACTAAACATAAAAAAACCCTAATTTTAAAATGGACAAAAGACTTGAATAGAAACATCTCCAAAAAAGACATACAAATGGCTAACAGGTATATGAAAAAATGCTCCATGGCACTAATTATTTGAGAAATGCAAATCAAAACCACAACGAGATATTGCTTATACCTGTTAGGATGGCTGTTACTAAAAAAAAAAAAAAAAAAAAAAAAGACAACAAGTATTGGTGAGGGCGTAGAGAAATTGGAACCCTTGTATACTGTTGGTGGGAATTCAAAATGTTACAGCCACTATGGAAAATAGTATGGATGTTCCTCAAAACATAAAACTATAACTACCATATGGCCCAGCAACTCCACTTTTGGATATTTATACAAAAGAATTGAAATCAGGATCTTGAAGAGAGAGTAACACACCCATGTTTACTGCAGCACCATCCACAATAGCTAAGATGTGGCAACAACCTAAAAATGTTAATCGGCAGATGAATGGATAAAGAAAATGTGGTATGTGCATACCATTGAAGACAATTCAGCCTTAAAAGAGAAAGACATTCTACAAGATGTGACAGTATGGATAAATCTTGAGGACATTTTGCTAGGTAAAATAAGCCAGTCACAAAAAGACAAAACTCCATTATTCCATTTACATGAAGTATCTAAAATAGTCTAATTCATGGAATCAAAGAGTGCAGTGGTGATTGTCAGAGGCTGGATGGAAGGGAAAATGGGAGAAACTAAAGTTTCAGTTAAGCAAGGTAAATAATATCTAGAGATACGCTGTGCAACATTGAACTCACAGTCAACAACAATGTATTGTACACTTAAAACTTTGTTAGGAGGGTGGGTCTCATGTTTTCTTACCACAATAAAATAAAATATTTTTAAAAGTGACATATAGGGCACTGTACCTGATGACTCATCTAGCATAAACGTCATGTTTTCATTTCCTGAGAGGATGCTGTATGTTACTTTTCCATTCCTTCCTTCGTCTGGATCGTGAGCAGTTATGTGGTGGACCAAGGAGCCCACTGTGACATCCTCTTTGACATGGGCATTGGGGAAAGAAATAAAAGTGGGGTTGTGGTCATTTACATCCAAAATCACTATTTGTGCTGTCAGTGATCTCAGTCGCCGGTCTGTCACATTCACAGCCTGATCAGATGCTGTTACTGTCAGGATGACAGTTGGAATGCTTTCTCTGTCAAGACGGGACACAGTGACTAGTGTGCCAAATGAGGGGTGGATGAGAAATGGATTCGTGCCAGGGTTGTGGGATTCAATGTAGTATTGTATTCTACTGTTCAAAAAACTGCCGTCATCATCTTTGGCATTGAAGACATACACCAGGGTTCCTATGGGAACATTCTCCTCTACACTGATCACAATGAGCTCATCCTGGAAAGATGGGGAATGGTCATTCTGATCTTCCACATCGATACTAAGGAAGACTGTGCTACTCAGGGAAAGGTTTTTGCTATGGTCTGTAGTAATCACTCTGAAAAGATAATGAGATGTCGTCTCATAATCAAGTTCCTTAGAAAGAAACAAGTCTCCGGTTGAGCTGTCTATTTCAAAGTGTCCATCCTTATCATCTGCAACAATACTAAAATGTAACTTTCCATTATAATGTTGTTGAAGGTGATCAGATGACTTTATCAAGCTCATTATTTTTGTGGGCTTCAAATTTTCTGGTATAATTAAATGTCTAATATTCTGAGACATGATTGCTCTCCCTTTGGATAGTGGGATCACCTGAAATACGAATAAAAGAGATATTAATTTGGGGTATTTTTAAAACAGTTTAATGAATAAATGTAATAATATTATTTTGAAAGCAAATTCCTTCCATGTATGTGATCATATGTTAATTAGTGAGAAAAATGTCATTTTTATATTATATAATTCCAGTATGTCTCAGAAGATCAAAAACTGCATAATATTTAGGAGATAACAGCTACAGAATTTTCTATTTCCCAGTTTGCTGTATTGTGTGAAACAACAGTTTGGTAAAGCCATGTTATAGTTAAGCTGAACTGTAGCCTTGTGATTCTTCAATGGGAATGCAGGGTAGCTAGTTCTCCAGATTATTTTAAATACTACAGACTGATCTATCCATAATGACAACATCTGTGTACATTTAAGTATCATATGTCTTTGTTTGTCTGAAACAAGAAACTGGAGGTATGACCATACAGATTTTTCTCTTAACCCACATACCCTTAAGCAGTAAAGAATATAATTTGGAAACAGAGTTCTTGTGGATATATATCCTTGGTTATTGTATATACCTGTATTAATATTTCTGATTATCACATGCACACACAAAGAAACTATGCACAGTCATCTTTCTTTGAGTGGTTGGTGTAATTTTTTTCTTACTATGGAGACTTCTCACAACTTGTTTGCCCATTATGATTAAAGTAAAGCCTTAAAATATGAATCTGGAGTTACTTTTCTAAATTAAAAAAATTACAAAAATCTATGTCATTTATTATATGGCCATTTGTTTACATACAAGTGTCTCCTGCAAATTTACCAGAGCCTTGACATTAGAAATAAGCACAAGAAAAGATACCTTTTGTCCATTATAAACAAAGCAACATAAATGCCAATATAGTGATGATTATCTTGTCAAGAACTGTACAAAGCTAATTTGCAAAATAATTTGGGTCTAAATCATTTTTCTAGTGATAGCAAAAAGCTAAGTATGCTATGTGCAATGCTCTCAAAATAGTATTCATGTAACATACATACATATTCATATACATACATATTACATGTATCTTCACTCTATAAACTTGTAATGAAAGTCAAATGAAATCTTTAGATGTCCTTCCATATTTTATGGTGACAACATTACCTGAATATTAACAACTGCCTGTCCTTGAAGAGGAGGCACTCCCTGGTCAGTGGCAATGACACTCATTCTGTAGGAAGGTCTATAATCATACGAAAGTATTGTGGTTGTTCTTATTTCACCATTGTTGGCGTCAATCTTAAAGTGATCAGAACTATCTTCTACACACACAAGAAAATTAAGAAATGAATGTTAATTGACAATGCAGAAAACAGAAAATCAATTAATCCAATATATCGATCATTTGGAAGATTTGTTTGCTTTGAATTCTATGAGAGTATGAACACAAAAATGACACTAAAAATAGACAAGAAACATCACTTTTTAAAAATTTTTATTATGGAAAATGCATACAAAAAAGTGGACAAAATGGTATAATAAACTTTCACGAGTCCATCACCTAGCTTCAACAATGATCAGCTCATGGCCAATCTTATTTCATCTATTCCCCATGTATATACTTCGCTTCTCCCATTTTTTTTGAAGTAAGTTCCAGAAGTCATATTATTTCTTCTGTATATATTTCAAAATGCATCTTTAAAAAATAAATATTTTAACACAATCATCACAGTACCATATTATACCTTAAAAATTAATAATGGTTCACAGTATCACCAAATATTCAGTAAGTTTTCAAATTTTCAACCATCCCATAAATACTCTTTATTTTTCTTGTTTACATTAAGATCAAAATAAAGTCCATATATTGCATATTTCTTTAATCTATGGATTCCTGCCACCCATCTCTCTATTTGTCCTTGCAATTTATTTGTTGAATAAACTGGAACTTGTATCCTGACATTTTCCATGATCTAGATTTGCTGTTGCATCTCCAACGTGTAGCATAATATGTTCCTCTATTCTTATGTTTTCCTTAAATTGGGAGGCAGATCTAGAGAACTGACCAGATTCAGGTCAGGATTTTGTTTGTTTGTTTGTTTGTTTGTTTTTTGCACGACTGCTTCCCAAATGCTGTTTTTCCCTTCAGAGGCATAGGTCTAGCTGCCAAAAAAAAAAAAAAAGATGAAGTCTCTTTCTGTTACCCAGGCTGGAGCGCAATTGTGCCATGATAGCTCACTGCAGCCTGGAGTTCAGGGTCGCAAGCTATCCTCACACCTTGGCCTCCCAGATAGCTGGGACTACAGGCATGGGCCAAAAGCTAGTTATTTTTGATGTTGGCCCCCCACTGATGCACAGCCTAGATCCATTAATTATTCTTTAAGTTTTGTGAAGTATAATGCAAGTTGACATCCCAAATCCAAAAAATATGAGATCCAAAATATTCCAAAATCCAAAACTTTTTGAGTACTGACATGATGCTACAACAAGAAAAACTCTACGCCTGATTCATCTGATGGATTGCAGTCAAAACACAGTCAAAACTTTGTTTCATGCACAAAGTTATAAAAAATATTGTATAAAATTACCTTCAGGCTATGCATATAGATGTATATAAAAAATGAATTTCATGTTTAGACTTGGGTCTCATCCCCAAGATATCTCAATATGTATATGCAAATATCCCTCCCCCCAAAAAAAACCCACCAAAAAAAAAAATCCAAAAGCTGAAACACTTCTGGTCCCAAGCATTTTAGATTAAGGATACTCAATATGCACTGCATTCTGGTTTATCATCCCTTTTTCATGTATTAGCTGGAATATTTCAATAAATAGAAACTTTCAGAGGAGTTCATTATAAGAAAGGCAGGATAAATGCTCGATGAGTTAAACTTTTATTTAACAGTTTTTGAAATAATGGGTTGGTTCACTAACATCCACCAATGTTCCAACTATGATAAGTAAAATTTTGTCTTGCTTTTGTTTTGGAAATCGTTAAGCATGATTTAAACATATTAGTTGTATTTCAATATATTGCCATTTTTATCCTTATTGATGCTCAAACTGTCCCATCACCAAACATTGGGATCTTCTTAAAGTTGGTTCCCGGGTCTCTTTCCATGATCCTAATAGTGTTTAGTAGCCTCCTTGTAACTGGTATGACAAAATGGTGCAGACTCATCTTGTAGATTTCCTGACCATGACCTGACATCATCATTTCTCCAAGGACTCCTGGTTCCTTTGGTGGAAAATGGTTTTGGGAGAACATATTTGGGACATTAGAGGTGCTCATCGTTTCTGGGTTTGTCATCACTTCTAGGCCTTTTCAGTGCACGGAGAATACACATGCACACATCTATACATTCATATTGATGCTTATAATTTAGATTGGTATCATAAGGTTTTGAGTTAAATAACAGATTTGTATTCTTCAATAAAATCTGAACATTTCAAACAGTTCAAACCTCAGACAAGTCTTGAGTAGAAGCTCCCCTCCATTCTTTAGTTCAACAGTTGCTGAGTCATTACTATGGACCAAATACCTTATCAGTTTTTAGGGACATAAAAGCAAATAAAAAAGAACCCCTGTCTTCAAGAAACTCATAGCATGGAGCAGGCAATTATGTAACATTTATTAGTTGTGATTTCTATGCTTTAATCCATTGATTTTGTTCTCACAGAAATACTATAGAATGCATTCATGAATATGATACATACCTTTATTCCCCTTATACCAATTTTCATCTCATTATTTTACCATATATTTTGTAGTTGCTTCTATTTTACTATCAGATAAAAAATAAAGATGGGAATAATGTAATATATATCTCCATATTTTTGTATTGACATGCCTCAATTATCATTTAAAAGCTAATTTATAAAAAAAGAATATTTCGATGAACACCAAAGTATCACTTCTTAGACTGATTAATTTTCAATATTTTTTCAATTTTTTCCAAGAAATGGCAGAGTATGAATAAAGGAGTGGATCTGTATATAGCTCCAAATCTCATTCCCCTCCTTTTTCCCCGTAGAAAGTCACTTTTATAACTGAAGTTGAGGTTTATCTTTGAAGTCCATACATCCATAAATAACATATGCCATGGCTTTGCTTGCTTTTAAATAGTGGTATTATAGCAGGATTATAGCCGTGTGTGTGTGTGTGTGTGTGTGTGTGTGTGTGTGTGTGTGTGTATTTTCCCTCTTCACAATCATTGTCCTTCACAGGTACACTATGTTGTCTTCTCCACCCCAAAATAAGACAGGAAAAAAAGATATAAAGATCTTATTGACCTAACTGACCTCATAGCCAGAGAAAGATTCTTGAATGCATACCTGCAAAGCCAGTTTTTCTCCCACCCAAGGACCAGATTAAAATAAGCTAAGACAACAAAAAGAGAAATTTGAGAAGTAACAAAAGGGAAGACAAAAAAAGAGGGGGAGAATGGGGAAAGAGTCTCTGAAGGAGGGGACAGCAGGAACACAGAGGAAGGGCTGTCTCCAAATGTGGATCTGCTGCAGGCTCACTACCTCTGTATAATCCACCATTCAAGTGTCCTGAGAACTTGGGAAGACATTTATAGGTAAATAAGTTCGGATGGTTTATATGGGCATAGAAACATCAGAGAAGAATTTGGCTCCCTGACCATGGAGGTATTGAGAAGAACTGCATATGTAACTTTTCCAAGGAAAAGCAATGCAATGAACTCAAAGCTGCTGTTTGCGTCAAATTCTTTTTATCTTCTGTAAAATCCTTGCCTTCCTTGCTTAACTTTGGATTCAATATTTATCCACACTGCCATGTATGAAATTCTATTGTATTCATTTTCATTGCTGTATAGTATTCCGTGAATATACCATATTATGCAGACAACTGAAACAATGCTTCAATGAATATCCTGTTACAGTCTCACTCTGCACATATAGAGTTCCTCTAGGGTAACAGAAGTAGAACTGCAAGGGTATAGCATAAGCACATCTCCAGTCTTATCAGATATTGCTTCATTGTTCTTCGAAGTCGTCACAACAAGGAGTCTGGGCATGCTTTAAAAACCTTTTTAATTATTCAGGCTTCTTTTCTTTGAGTTGTCTGTTAACATTCTTTGTCCAATTTTATTATTTATTTACTGGTTTTTCTTACTGGTTTGCAGGAGTTCTTAATAAATTCTGAATACTAATTTTGTATTGGTTACTGGACTATAATTATCTTTTCCCAACTTGTGACTTGAATAGTCACATTGTAAACAATGGCATATTTTGTAGTGTTTTCAATTTTCATTTAGTTTTATTTATCTATTTCTTTGTGAGCTTCTGCATTTCTTCTTGTTTAAACCGTCTTCTTTATTCTCAATGCCATATATATAACCAGTCTCATATTTTCTTTTGTAAGAGTTAAAGATTTCTACATTTAATAAGACTCATCTTTGATATGCTGAGAGTAGAGATATTTTTCCTTGTAGGTAACCGATCATATCAGCATCACGTATTGATAGTCCATCTTTTCCCCATTTATTTTCTACCCCCTCATATGTCAAGTTTCCGTACGTGTAAAGTGTGACCCCTACTCTTTTTAACTGGCCCATTTATTAATGAGTGAATCAATACAATAGTGTTTTAATTATGAAATTTTATAAATTAAGACTGGGTAAGGCCAACTTCCCACTTGTTATTTGGACATTGTCTTAGTTATTCCTTGTCTTTTGCTTTTCCACATGATGTTTAGAATCAGCTTGTCAAATTCTATCAAAGCCTCATTGAACATTTGATTGAAATCATACTGAATTAATAATGATATTTTTGTTAAGAATTGTAATCTTTAGGATATTGAGTCTTCCCAAGCATGAACATGATACAGCTTTTCATTTCATTCTTTTATGTCCTTCATTAATATTTTATATTTTTCTGTATGAAAGTCTTATACAAGTTATATTGGAATTTTTTCTATGCCCCTAATAGAGACAGATCCTATCTGTGTTGTTTTGAAGTTTGTACAGTTTGAGAGGCACTCCTTAAGAAAAATAAATTGTCCACTTCCCGCTCCCTGGGGAGGCTATGCAAGTAAAACACCGCAAAACTTAGCTTCATTAGTTTCACAGTAGATCTGCTCCTACCCCCTTTCATTTTCTTTGTGAATTCACCATAGTGAATGAGATCTTTGGAAACTGCTAAGTTTTAAAAATACCAGTGAGTTTCGTATGTTGACATTATTCTCAGAAAATTGGCTATTTTATTAATTCCAATGGGTTGCCTATAGCATCTCTTGGGTTTTCCATGCAGACAATCAAACTATCTGTGGGAAAGGGCAATGTTATCTCTTCTTTCCTATGTCCTATGTTTGTGTCAAACATGACAAAGCACCAAATGTCTTTTAAAATTATATAAAACACAATGCCAATTAAAGTAAATAACTGGAAAAAATCTGGGGCCTGCATGTTCCAACAGAAAACATAATAGTAAGCCCACTTCAATAAAATTTCCCCATACACACACGCATGTATACATGTGACATTTTCTAGGCATGATTTACTCTGACCTTACAAGTATTCAGTCTTCATAAAGATTTATAGATGCTTGGAACTCTTAGTCATACTTAATACCAATTCTTATCCCCTAACTAACACTTTCCTATCAATAAAAGTAAATTTGTACTTCACATTATTGCAAATTACTCACTAAAGATGAATGGTTTCTATTAAGAACGTAAAAAGCTACTCTGATTTTTTATTAAACTTTAAATTACTTTTCAAAAACTGAAAGTAGTTCTTGACAATAGCAAATGTATTTTGTTTGTAACTTGGTGCTTTTTCAAAACTAACTACAGCATTCAAAGTAATCAAAATAGAACTTCTTTTCCCAGAAGGGGATAGTTGATAAATGAAAGCAGAAATCCTAAAAGTTCTTAATCCCGTATGAACAGTAAGTTTTACCTGAAGATACTGAGTATGTAACTTCTGCATTATTTCCTTCATCAGGATCCTTTGCAAACACAGTTGTAACCAACATATTTACTGGTTGACCTTCCAGAACCTGCCATTAAAACAAACAGCTTACAAATGAGTCAGCAAAAGTTTAAAAAGAAATATCAGTGGACCTTTAAATGAATGAATACATTATACTAAACATTTTAAACTATCTTAAAATCCACATATAATTCAAATGCATACCATGTAAAAGTTATATGGGTGTATGTCCATGAAAAGAATCCTCCTTACATATTAAATCTTTTATTCAATTAGAATGAATTATCTGAGGCATCTGAACTAATTCTGACCAAAAGAAAAAGAAATTGAACTTGCTAAACAATCTTAGATTTTTGGTGTATTTTAAGATTTCTAGCATATTCTCATTCATCATCTCTTAGGACATTTTTTGAAAGGTGGTTGCTATGGCTTAAAATATGCTTAAAATAAGTATGAACCTTTAATTCAGAAAACAAAACTCATGCAGGACATACCAATTATCAGGAGCTGTCCTGCAATGTTGAAATGCACATGTGAAGTTCAACTACATGTTTAGAGTCCAACTGCCCAATTAAGCCACAGGACATTTTAATGATATGATTAAAAAGTGTAATGATGATATAATAATATTTTGCTTTGTTAGAATTTTTCTTTAAAGCTGGATTCAGATCAGTTTAAAGTTATGAGTTCCTCAATACTTTTGTTGAGTTGTTCAATATGTATATTTGAGCACAATTTGAATGTCTAATTCAATTGTTCTGGAACAGTAGCTTCTAAACTTTTCATTATTATAACCCATCCACTAAAAAAATTATTAGTAGGTCCAAACATATTTATTAATTATGTGAATGAACTGATATTCTAATTTATTATGTATATTATACAACATACAAAAAGACAAATGAAAAAGATGAGATAATATAAATATAATTGCCAGTTGGTGCATGTGATCAAAAGGATCAACTTTTACTATCTCTGGATTTCCACCTACCCACTTTAGAGCTACAGGTTGTTCCCCTACCCTTAAGTAACTATCTTAGAGACATGTATCAATTGCCGTTAAGAAGCTCTGCACAAAGAGATGCACGTAAACTACTGGAAAAACAAGCCATGTCTGAGCATTAACCTGAAGCACCATTCAGTTTGTGTACAAGGGGCTGAACTAAACTTATTGTTATAAAGCAACTGGAGGTACAATGCCAAAGAGCACATATATTCATTTACTTTTTAAAAATTTTCTTTTAAAATAACATGTGCACAGTATCTAGGTCTTCTAGAAAAAGTATGCTTTGCCACACCAAGACTGATGTGATAAATTCACAGGTTTTACCACAAGATGGTGCTCAAAACAAATGACTTAAGATATTACAAATTCATTGCAAGGTTTCTTCACAAACCTTCACGTGTAACTCCTTTCCAGGGAGACACTGGGGGAAGAAGGGCCTGTTATCATTGATGTCAGTAACTGAGACGTAAACCGCCATGGTGGCGTTTCGTGGTGGGGAGCCGCGGTCTGTCACTAGCACAGTCATCTCATGGTGCCCCCGGTGCTCACGATCCAGTGCCACCCAATTGATTAACTCTCCTGCAGAGTACAGAGCAGAACAAGACACAGGCACTGTGTACCAGGCGCACCAGGGCCAGAACCATTTCCAGAAGGAAAACCAAGTACAAAGCTTTGAGCAAATATGCGACTTCTAAGACCATCTACATAGTAGTTTGGCTCTATGGTACTGTTGAAAAAATTTTCTCAAGTTGCTCCTGAAAATGTCACTTTAAATTTGTTATTCTTTGTATTTCAAATTATCATCCATCGATCATTTGAACTAATAAACAATGAATTCATAAAAATGATAAAACTCCGTGGGAACTTAGTAATGATTTGGAAGATTTAAAACTGCTGCTTATCCCTCTTTATGCTGCTATACAGAATGATGGAAAGCATGTGAGCTCTGACACAGGTTCTGGCTTTGGCCCCAGTTTCCCCATCTCAGACATGGAATGACTCCTCTGAGCCTGGGACTGCTGTCAGGAAGAAATGTAATCACACATTTAAAAGTATTGTGCAAGCTATACATGACGACACAAGTGGAAGCTGTTATTACTACTTTAACATAATGGCTAAATACCTTTCTGGAAATCAAATAATATCCCTTAGGCAATAGTTCTTGTTTTATGCACACAAGTATTTGTTTTTTATCTCACAAAATATACATGTAGCAGTGGATAGTGACTTCCTATAAAAACTCTTAATGCTTTAGAAGCTTTATTTCAAATATTTCTGCCTAGAGCTATACTACCTTCAGTAACTTTCCTCATGTGTCAGCCATGCAGACCCAGGCATAACATCTAAGTGCCTCTTCCTATTGCCAGGGACCTTGGGAAGACAAGCACTCGGTCCAATAGCCTGTCAGAGCTCTGCCAAGCATTGATTTCCTCACCATTTATGAAAAAAAAATGTACCTGTGAGAATGTGAGCATGAAGCAGCTACCGACAAACATTTCTGTGGCTAAAAACTTTTTTCCTCTTAATACAAATAAAATAGCATTGCATTAAAAAAAAGTGGAAACAGGGAACAAAAATGAAAATTCTCATTTAGGTAAGTTGCTGAATTGGTGAGCTTAAATGCAGTGTTTATGATAACTGTTTACTGTTAATATATAAACTATATTTATAGTGTTTACTCGGTGGTTTTAATATAGATCATACACACAATTGCTTTTTTTAAATTCCAAACTATAATTCTCCTCCGAAGACCTTAACTTCTGAATGGCAAACAGATTTTTATTCATAAAGCAAATCTGATGGATAAGCAGCAGCCTTGGAGGTCGGGGATGTAAAAGACTGTGCAGCTCAGGCTGCAGCTGGGGATGGGCGACACCAGGATATGGTTCCACAGGAGCTCAAGTCCTGGTCACTTGTAGGACTGTCCAGAGAACTGGATGAAAAGGGGGTGTGTCTCCCAGGCTCTGAAGGACACCCTCCACCCTGCCTTGCCATGCTGTCCTTGGGAGGAGGAACAGTTTACAAGCACGTAGTGTTCCAAGCCCTTTCATATTCTTTAGCTCTTTACCCCTCAAAGCATGGCACAGGGCGTGTCAGGAATTGTCTCCTGTATTCATGGTAAGGAAGCAGCTCTGAGCTTAAGCTACTTGCTTAAAGCCATACAATGAAATTAGGAATGGACACCTCGTTTTCTTGTAGGGGAGGGAAGATCACGGGGGAATCAACTGTAGTTTGCTTATTTTAAAGAAAAAAACAAGTGAAATAGAAGACCTTGAAAACTAGCCATATGGAAGTAAAGTGCAAGCAGGGTCATCCCATATAGCTGTATGGTTTGTGCCCTTGCAGCAGGAGTCTCAGTTTAGGGAGTGAATGAGAGTGGAAAGGCAGCTTGCAACCTTCTTGGCAAGCCATGTGCCCTGTGAAAACCCTCCATCTGCTGTGAAAGGTCACCTTCTCCTAATTCACAGAACAGAGACTTGAGAACAAAGGCTTGAAGTTCATCAGAACTGAATGCAAAGTCTGTCCCACTAAAGGCAGCAGCACCATCTGCCCAGGTTATGACATAGATGGTGCCTGCTGGACCTGCACAAAAAGGGAGCTTCTTCTCATCTTACCAGCTCCATGACTTTGGGTGTACTACTCGAGCTATCTGAGTTTCAGTTTTCCCGGGTATGTATTTGCAGTATAGATATGTTTCATTGTAAGGATTAAATAAACTCCCCGTAAACTTATACAACATAAATTTTAAAATATAGTGACTTTTAATCTTTAATTTCTTAATTCAGACTTTAAAAATTTCACTGTAATTATTCCCCCTTTTCCTCTGGTTCCCCTGTCAGAATGAGAAAAAGGATATATATTCTTAGAGTGATTTTGAAATCTTAACCAATGAATTGATGTCTAGCTTTACATTGATGATATTTATATTTCACAAAATACGTTTTGACGTTTTTTAAATGTCTACAAATGGAAAAGGATGGTTGTTGAAAAAATTAGCCTTTACACAAGGATATATTCAATCCAGTTCTGACTATACCTCTAGTTCAGAAAAAGAACCATATATTGGCAAGATGGGGATGTGATGCAGGGAAAGTATGAATTATTATGGGTGAAACTCTATTCAATTTTTAATCCATTTTTAAGACCTCACAATAGAGTAATCGAATACCTTATTTATTAAAAACCATTATTTCAATTGCATGTATGCACTAATGCTATACCTAACGACTTGAGTTTTCTCAATCCTGATTTTGTTTAATTTTTTATTTTTATTTTTACTTAAAGACGAGTGTGATAGTACTGAACCCTCATTTTAAAGGAATAGGTGGAAACTATGAAGTGCTACCTGTATTAGGATTCATCTTGAAGAATTTTCCATCAGACAAAAGGAAATATAATAGCTGTCCATTCTTTCCAGAGTCCATGTCAATAGCTGTAATTTTGCCTATTACCCCTTGGGGAACAGGGCTCTCTTCGACTTTCAAAAACAACACATCATGCAAGAAGGTGGGGGAATTGTCATTCTCATCCCAGACACGAACAATGACTGTAGTGCTCACATTTTGCAAGAATCCGTCCTCGGGGATCCAAGCAAACACTCTAAAATTATATGTTTGGGTGGATTCATAGTCAAACTGTCGCCGCAAATAAATCCAGCCCGTGTAAGGGCGGATTCCAAACATAGCAGAGTCTACGCTGGGTTCCAGCGAGTACCTAAGAGGCGAGGCTGCACGCTGGGGGCCAAGTGGGTGCGCCTGTGTTTGCAGCATTTGTGTCATCGGTGAGAGAGACTCACTGACTTCCACTTGATAGACCAAATGTTCGAAAGTCCAGGATGGGCTGTGTTCGCGTTTCTCGATAACGACTGTCAGCACCAGCAGGGCTGCCTGAGGATGCACGCCTTGGTCCTCGGCCCTGAGAGTCAGCGTGAGCTCCCGCTGCTCGCCCGCGCCCAGGCTGCCGTTGAGGAACAGCACCCCCAGGGCTCTGTCGATGGCAAAGACGCCTGGCTGCGGGCTGGCGATGGAGTACCGGATGAGTCCGTTCCGCCCACTGTCTCTGTCTTCCGCACGTGCGAGGTACAAGGCTGTGCCAGGGGGCGTGGTCTGGGATATTCTAATCTCATCCGAGGTCCTGAGGAACGCTGGGTGGTTGTCATTGACATCCATGACTGTTATGTTGACCTCGGTGCTGCTGCAGGCTGGGGCGCTGCCGAGCTGCGCCTGCACCGTGAGCACAACCACGGGCTGCGTCTCGTGATCCAGGGGCTTCCGGGTGCGAATAGTGCCCAGCCGCGGGTGAATGGAGAACTTTCCGCCGAGATCACCAGAAGAAATCCTGTAAAAGATTGGTTCTGAGGAGTCTGAAAAAGAGAGAGGGGACAACCACTGTATGTCAAAAGGGTGGACCCACTGGAAACTCAGAAATTGAAATGTTAATACAGTCATCCACTGCCTAATGACACTTCAGTCAATGATGGATCACATATACTATGATGGTTCCGTAAGATTCTGACACCGTATTTTATTGTACCTTTTCTGTGCTCACATACATAAATCCTTACCATTGGGGTACAACTGCCTACAGTATTAAGTGCAGTAATATGCTGTGCAGGTTTGTAGCCTAGGAGCAATCGACTGTAACATTTAGCCTAGGTGTCTGGTAGGCCACACCATCCAGGTTCGTGTGAGTACACTCTGTGATGTCTGCACACTGACAAAATTTTCTAATGAGGCATTTCTCAAAACATTTCCCATCGTTAAGGACGCATGATTGTATATTCTCCATCTACAGAGACTGCTGTGCAATGTCTTACTTTCTCCACTCTCCAAAGCCTGCGGAAAAGTGGACACACGGTTTTAAGAATTTTTTTGGTGTACGAAAAGAATGTCCAATGGGCAAAGAGCAAGCCACAGGTTTCACTCTCTTCCTTCATCCCTCTTGCATTAGATAAAAGGGAAAGATATTCAGAAAATAATTCAAATACCTTTTTTTAAATATATTTGAGGAAGTCAAGTTCAATTTATGTTGATGTTACTCTATTATATCTACCTATGAAGGGCAAATACTCTCCATAGAGATTGAGGGAAGGGAGAGAGGAAGGAACAGGAGGGGACTAGGAGGAGGACAAGCTCTTTGGAAAGGTAATTCATTTCTAGGAATTTATCCTGCAGAGGTTCCTCTACAGGTGTGAAAAAGTCACACACGGCTATTTGCTCAAGTACTATTTGGACTAGCAAGATTTTTTAAATCCTTCAAATTGGTAGCAAATGTAAACATAAAACATATCTAAGTTGAAACACTATAAACTGTCTTTTAAGGAAACAGAATGGCATCCATTTATCTGGAAAGTTGTTCAGTATATACTAAGTGGGGAAAGAAGCTCTATAACAACAAATATAGAAAGATGCATTTTTGTCAAAAATTTGTAAATTGTGTGTACATGTGTGTGTTTTTGTGAGTGGGTTATAGGAGACATATATTTTGTATATTATAATCTGTATTATTTTAAACATTCTTTTTAAAATGCCTATTATTTTTGTGATCAGAAAAAAAATTGTGGGATGGACAGAAACAATGTTGGAAGAACAAAGAGCAAGCCACAGTTTGTGTTATCTCCCTTGTTTTGACTTGCGTGGAAAGAAGAAAAAAATTATTCAAGATTGTACCGCCTACAAAAAAACAAGAAATGTTCCAATAATGGAATTCCATGCAGCATAAGAAATAAGTACTTACTCAAGGGCTCTCTTGCTTTCACTGTTCCAATGGGACTATCTTCAGGCACATCTTCATAAACTAAGAAAGTGTACTTAGGCCTTTCAAACTCAGCAGGTGCCAGAGTTGTCTGGAAAATGTGTATGGTGACATCGGCATTAATGACAGCTGTGAGCCCACCACCGTCTTGAGCAGAGACCATCAACGAAAGTGTGGTAGATTCCAAATGACTAAGAGGTAATGTTAAGTAAATAATTCCTGGGTAGGGAAAAGAAAACATTGGTAAACAGATAACATGTAATAAATACTGATGAGCAATAGTAACACCTGGTCTATTAAGTGTATTGTGATGTTTTATTTTATGTGTTAACTGGGCCACAGGATGTCCAGGCATTTGATCAAACATTATTTTGAGTGTGTCTGTGAGGGTGCTTTTGGATGACATTAACATTTAAATCTGTAGACTGAATAAAGCAGATCATCCTCCCTAATGTGGGCAGGCCTGGTCCAATCCACTGAAGGCCTGAATAGAACAAAAAAGCTGACTAAGAGAGAATGGCTCCTGCTCCCAACCTGGGGCACTGGTTTTTCTCCAGCCTTCAGGCTCAGATAGAAGCATTGGCTCTTCCTAGGTCTCGAGCCTGCTGGTCTTCAGCCTCAAACTATACGACTGGCTCTCCTGGTTCTCAGGTCTTTGGACTGAGACTGAAGCAACACTGCCAGCTCTCCTGGCTCAGTTTGATGGATCTGCTCACCCTGCAGATCTTGGGACTTGCCAGCCTTCATAATCACATGAGCCAATTCCTTGTGATCAGTCTCCTCATACATACACACACACACACACATACATCCTGTTGGGTCTGTTCTCTGGAGATGAACTGATACATGTATTTGCCAACCAAAGACCTTCTGCATATTTGCAAAACAATGTCAAATTATGTTAGGTAAGCAATATTTTCCTAGAGTTAAAACATTAGACATTTTAGAAGTATATAAAGTCACTAGAAAAAATATAAATTGTGTTGTCTTCTTTAGGGCTTACCATATCACCAGCCCGAGATGACAGAAGATCAGATTATATCCCATAGTCCAGTATATTCTAATGCAGGCTAGCGCAGGGTTGTAGGGTGATTACAACCTGCTCAAGTGCCAGAATCCCAAGTCTACAGGATGAAACTAAAATTTTATCTTCTAAGGTATTTGACATTTGCCCTGAACTAGACCGTGTAGGGTAGCTCTCTTTTTAAACTGACTCCACTCCACCTTTGTTGGTGAGAAGATATAATACAATAGCTGTGTACAATAAAACTTCAGCAAATGTAAAGACAATGGGGACAAGAGTGACGACTTAGGCTTATGCATGTAGAGTATGTGAGAGGAGAACTTATTTATGGCTAAGTTGGGAAGAGATTCGGTAATACTGACAAAAATGAATTATTTAATATTATTAATACTACCACTTAGTGTACTAGTTTAAAAACCTGAAAACGGATCTAATGCAATCAACTTAAGAAATGAACCTGTTAGTTTTGTTTAATGAGAAAAATGTATGCAAACTTATTAAATGAATTTGCGAACAAATACGTATGGCTGGCCTTTATGGAATTCATCATGTACAACTGGCCATAACAATTAGTTAATGAATGAATACTGCAGTCTTTGCCAGTTTAGGAGAAGTTGGCAAAAACATCAGGGATATCAGTTTCTAGGCATTAAAAGGTGACATCCATTTGATTTCTTCCTTTTTTATATAAAAATCTGCCCTCTTGCAACTTCGATTTCTTGTTTCTATTTCTATTAGAAATTTAATAAAATATTCTTATTTACTGAAATCAAATATCTTGCTTGGCCTGCTCTAAACACATACTCATTTTCCTTTTTTCCCCAGCTTTATTAAGGTATAGTTGACCAATAAAATTACATATGTTTAAGGTGTACAATTTGACAATTTGTGATTATAACCATTTTCTTTAATGATTCCTTATCTAATATGATTTTAAGTCATTTCTCTCACAGTTCTTTCTCCTAAACATGGTCCAAGTTGATCATCTCAATTTTGATAACCAAAGTGAACAAACTTTGTTTCCAGATACAATTTTACTGTTATAAAGCAGAGGATAAACACTCTTTATTAGAATACCATAAAATACTAATGTAACCAACTATTAGTACACCAGCTTTTAGTAACCATATTCACATCTGGTTTCAGACTGATTTGATGGTCCATCAAAGCACTCAGTACTTATCACAAAAAATTTCCAAGTCAGATCTTTCTCATCTGTTATTGGTGCAGTTTCTAAAAAATATTGCTTTAGTATTAAAGTCTCTGATTGATTGAAAAATAAAACTTGAATATACACAAATGTGTACAGAAGAGAAGAAAAAGTCCCCCTACCCCAAACATCCCCACTCACCAGGTATATATTCTTCCAGAGCTACCACTAAATTCCGATTACAGAGAAATTTTAAAAGATTTTATGTTGAGCCCTGATGATTATGACAATGAAAAACTTAATGTCTGCCTCAACACAACCTGGTCTTCCTGCATCCCGACTGACTCCTTCTGAACTATTTTTATATTTGTGTTAGACCAGTCTTCTTGAAATCCAAATCTAGACACATCGATGGCTCCCCAGCTTTTCAGGGTAAAGCTTAAATGCATTATCTTAACATACCAAGCTATTCATAAATGGCCCCTCTCCCTCTCTGTAACCCCATCTCATAGCTCTCTGTGTCATAGCTCTCTGTACAGTACCTTTTGCTCTAGGCAAAGTGAACAGCTTGTAATTTCCAGAAAAGACCTTGCTGTCTTCCATCTGGATTGCTGCGTCCTCTTCCCAGAACAACTTCTTCATCTTCTTTGATGTAACAATTTCTAGCCATATTTTATTATTATTATTATTATTATTATTGAGATGAAGTTTCACTCTGTTGCCCAGGTTGGAGTACAGTGGCATGATCTCAGCTCACTGTGACCTCCGCCTCCTGGGTTCAAGCGATTCTTCTGCCTCAGCCTCCCGAGTAGCTGGGATTACAGGCACGTATCACCATGCCCGGCTAATTTTTGTATCTTTAGTAGAGCCAGGGTTTCACCATGTTGGCCAGCCTGGTCTCGAACTCCTGACGTGATTTGCCTACCTCGGCCTCCCAAAGTACTGGGATTATAGGTGTGAGCCACTGCACTTGGCCTCTAGTCATATTTTAAAACACAGCTCAGGTTTCATCTGGTGCAGCTGGCCTTCTCTTTCTCTCCACTTAGCTCTAGCTACCACTATTCTATGATCCCGCAGCAGCCTGGGTACATGTGCCTATTATGAACTTAACATGCCTTACTTAATTACCGGTTTTTAATATTTTATATCAGTCCTTCATTTACTCATTAGTTTACTGAATGATTTATAAATAAAATTAAAAGAAATTTTGAAAATATACAAACAACAATTTACTATACATAAGGAGAAGAGAGATCTGTAAACAAAATGGAAAATAACTGAAAGTTAGATTAGCAGTGGATAAGGACAGGTAGTTTAGATAAGAAACAATAAAATGTTGATAAATATAATACTACCTAAAATCACTAATAATAATGAAAATACAAAATTAAAACCACTACCTCATTTTTACCTCTCTGTTTTCCTAAAATATTTAAGTGATAATACCCAGAGTTAATAGCAGGTTGTTATTTATGTACATTCTCCAAAAGGCACTTTGGTGATACTTATCAAAATTTTAATTGTTCACACTCAATAACTCAGAAATCTACTCTATATTTGTGTAAGTACACAGAAATAAATCAAGAGGATGTCATTTGGAACACTGAAAATGACCTTAATATCCATCAGGAAAAGAATGGACAGTGCACTCTATTGTGGTATATCAATACAATAGAATACTGTGTAGCATCAAAATGAAGTAAATATACATGTTTTCATCTAGAAAGACTTTACACACTACATTTTATGTGAAAAACAAGTTGCAAACGTGAGTCTATGTTATCAATCCATTGTGCTTGAAAAAATAATGTCAATACTACAAGTATTAGCCAGGATTCTCCAGAGAAGCAAACCAATGGGATCTCTCCTCTGTAGATATAGATATCTATAGATCTTATATCTCTCATATCTACATATAGAGATAGATAGATAGACATTAATAGATAGATATAAAGTGAGATTTACATTAAGGAATTGGCTGAGATTATGAAGTCTGAGAAGTCCCATGTTCACCCATCTGCAAGCTGGAGACATAGAAAAGCTGATGGTATAGTTTGAAAGCCTGAGAGCCAGGTAGTCAGTGGTGTAGATTCTAGTCAGGGTCTGATGGCCTGAGAGCCAGGAGCACTGAGGGCAAGAGACTGATGTCTCAGCTCAAGCTGTTAGGCAGAGAGCAAATTCAACCTTCCTCCACCTTTTTGTTCTTTTTCAGGCCCTCAGTGAATTAGATGATGCTCACCCATTCTAGGGCTGGCCATCTGCTTTACGCAGTTCACCAATTCAAATGAAAATCCACCCACAGAGACACCCAGAAACAGTGTTTAATCAGCTATCTGGGCATCTTGTGGACTATTCAAGTTAACACATAAAAGTAATAATCACATGAACAAACTTTTTTTTTTTTTTTTGAGATGGAGTCTCACTCTGTTGCCCAGGCTGGAGTGCAGTGGCGTGATCTCGGCTCACTGCAACCTCTGCCTCCTGGATTCAAGCGATTCTCCCGCCTCAGCCTCCTGAGTAGCTAGGACTACAGGCGCCTACCATCACGCCTAGCTAATTTTTGTATTTTTAGTAGAGAGGGGTTTCACCATATTGGCCAGGCTGGTCTCAAACTCCTGACCTTGTGATCCGCCCATCTCGGCCTCCCAGAGTGCTGGGATTACAGGTGTGAGCGACCGCGCCCAGCCAAACATTTTTAAAATCATGGTATATCTCTATTTAATGTAAAAGAAAAATTCATGAAAACCTGCTGAGAATATTTGATTACAGAACACTATGTAAAGTTTGAATACAAACACTAATACATATACGATGTGTATACACACAGAACTATGCATACTGAAAAATATGAAAGGATAGGAACTGTTAAGGGAAGTCATCTTTGTGTGTTGAGATTATGGGAAGCTCACTTTTTACTTCTTACATTCCTATAGTTTAAAAATTTTTTAATAATTATATGTTAACTTTGTAAATGAAAAAATATATTTTAAAGATATTCAGAAAAAGAAGATATGTTTGGTTATTATTTAACTTTTTTAGGACTATGAAGGAAACTTGTAAACTATAGTGTAAACTAAGATTGGACATTAAAATGTGGGCCTCTAAAAATAATTGCAGAGCACACTTCCTTAAAAATAGGATTCTAATTCTACAAAAAATTTCAAGAATGAATATCATGGATATTTCAGAACCATTAAATGAAGATATTAAAGGGATTAATTTCCATTAAATCAATCCCTGAGGTTATAATAAACAAACTCTGGAGAAGCTGTCTATATAAAGCCGAACATGAAAAATAATGTTTCAAATATTCAAATTACTAAAGTGTGTCCTAGTAACATACAGCAAATGTGAAGTCTAATAAAATTAATATCTATACTATATTCACTCTGGTACTGAAAAATATTCTCTCTGATAGAACTATTTGGTGTCTAATTATAGCCCCTCCAAATCCCCAAACTGGCATTTTTAATTGAGACAGTTTAATAATAGTTTTTGAGGTTCCCGATGATTTGACAATGGGGAGCAAGAAGCAACACATCACTTATTTTATCCTTGATACCACCTGGAATGTTAGTCCATGAAGCAAAATTAAGTTTACTGTCTTAACAAAATTTTACTGATGAATGTCCATTTTATTTGCCATATTATGAGTTATCAAATAAATTTGAAGGAAAGGAAAAGGGAAGAAAAAGGGAGACATGACATCAATTATAGAGAGTTATACAAATGTAACCTTTTCAAGAATCTTTACCCTTAAAGAATTTATACAAGCCAATCAGTAACTAAGTGTAACGTCAACAAAGACAAATAAGAGCTGTCAGTTATAGGTGAGCAGGAGATAACGAAATTTAAAGTTGTATGTAAACAGTGAAACATCACACAAATGTTAGCTATTATGAAGAGGGCTTAGCTTAGAACCTTGCATATGGTAGCCACTCAAAGAAATGAATTTATGTGGGGGGAGAATCGTGAACCTTACTTCTCAAAGGGAAGTGCCTTGTTAATAATTTGAAAAAACGTTTTCGCCCGGGCGCGGTGGCTCACGCTTGTAATCCCAGCACTCTGGGAGGCCGAGGCGGGTGGATCACGAGGTCAGGAGATGGAGACCATCCTGGCTAACACAGTGAAACTCCGTCTCTCCTAAAAATACAAAAAAATTAGCCGGGCGTGGTGGCGGGCGCCTGCAGACCCAGCTATTTGGGAGGCTGAGGCAGGAGAATGGCGTGAACCCGGGAAGTGGAGGCTGCAGTGAGCCGAGACCGCGCCACTGCACTCCAGCCTGAGAGACAGAGCGAGACTCTGTCTCAAAAAAAAAAAAAAAAAAGAGAACGTTTTCAAGTATTTCAAAACACCGCTCTATAAGCACCTAACCATACAAGGTAAATCTCTGAAATCTCAGTTTTCCGCTAGGTTTTAAAAAGAAAATGCCTGTTATCATATTCCTCCATTTTTCATTTCATAGAAGTCTTAGAAGTAGAGACCATCACTCTATATACTGTATATGTATCGTAATGCATACATTCATATATATACACATACATTCATATATATATACACACACATATCTATCTATATATAATATGCTGATCTATCAAAAATTCCTGTGTAGTAATGGGATTATAAATATTGTGTGAACAAAAAACCTGTCCATCAATTACTAGGCTCTAAGTAATTTTTCAATAACATCAGAAGCTCCACTGTTTTCTGTGCGTATCCATAGGCTAATCACTTAAACCTACCATGGTTTTACCTTAATCTCCCAGGTAATATCAGACAGAAGTATTTCCTGTCTGAAAGTGCTGAATCCTTGGGTTAATTATTTCCAGAAGCCCAAAAGTTTAGTCTTTTTAATTTTATTTTTTTAATTAAATGAAAGCATTATACTCAACTAAATATAACCATCAAAAGAAATCAACACAATTGGTAAATTCACTTGTCTTTGAACTTGAAGGGCTCTAGAGGTACTGTGGGCTTTATTCCAGACCACTGCAATAAAGCCAATACTGCAAAAAAAAGTGAGACACAGAAATTTTTTGATTTTCCAGTGCATAAAAAGTTATGTTTACACTATGTTGTAGCCTATTCAGTGTGCAATAACAGTAAGTCTAAAGAAAACAATGTATATACCTTAATTTAAAAATATTTTATTGGTAAAAAAAAAAGTGTTAACAGTCATTTGAGATTTTAGTGAGTGGTAATCTTCTTGCTGGTGGAGGGGCTTGCCTCAATGTAGATGGGTACTAACTGGTCAGTGTGGTGGTTACTGAAGGTGGCGGTGGCTGTGGCAATTTCTTAAAATAAGACAACAAGGAAGGTTGCCACATTGATTGACTCTTCCTTCCACAAAATATTTTTTTCTGTAGCATGCAATGCTATTTGCTAATAGTTTATCCACATTAGAACTTCTTTAAAATTGGAGCCAATCCTCCTAGGCCCTACTGATGATTTATCAACTAAGTATATGGAATATTCTAAATCCTTTGTTGTCATTTCAACAATGTTCACATCTTCCCCAGGAGTAGATTCCATCTCAAGAAACCATTTTCTTTGCTCATCCAAAAAAGCAATTCCTCATTAGTTTAAGTGTTATCATGAGATTGCAGCAATTCTGTCACATCTTCAGGCTCCACTTCTAATTCTATGTCTCTTGCTATTTTTACCACTTCACTGAAGTGGTGATTCCCTCAAAGTCATCTGTGAGGGTTGGAGTCAACTTCTTCCAAACTCCTATGTTAACCTCCCTCCATGAATCACAAATGTTCTTAATGGCATCTAGAATGGTGCATCCTTTCCAGAAAGTTTTCAATGTATTTTACCCAAATATATCAGAGGACTCACTATCTATGGCAACTATAGCCTTAGGAAATGTATTTCTTAAATAAAATACTTGAAAGTCAAAATTACTCCTTGATGGATGCATGGATTGCAGAATGAATCTTGTATTAGGAGGCATTAAGAAAAAACCTCCTTGTATATCTTCATCAGAGCTCTTAGGTAGCCATGTGCATTGTCAGTGAGCAGTAATGATTTGAAAGAATTTTTTGTGAATAATAGGTCTCAACAGTGGGTTTAAAATATTCTGTAAACCAGGCTGTAGACAGATGATATCTGTAAACAGATAACATCTGTTTGTCATCCAGGCTCTGTTGTTCCTTTTATAAAGCACAGTCAGAGTAGATACAGTATATTTCTTAAGAGCCCTAGGACTTTCAGAATGATAAATTAGCATTGTTCCACTTAAAGTCACCAGCTGCATTAGCCCCTAACAAGAGAGTCAGCCTGCCCTTTTAAGTTCTGAAGCCAGGCATTGACTTCTCCTCTCTAGCTATGAAAGTCCTAGATGGCATCTTATTTCATATAAGGCTGTTTCATCTACATTGAAAATCTATTGTTTAGTGTAACCACCTTCACCAAGAATCTTAGCTAGATTTGCTACATACCTTGCTGCAGCTTCTCCATCAGCACTTGCTGCTTCATCTTGCACTTTTAGGTAATGGAGATGGCGTCTTCCCTTAAACCTCATGAACCAACCTCTGCTAGCTTCAAATTTTTTTTCTGCAGCTTCCTCATCTCTTTCAACCTTCCTATATTTAAAAAGAGTTAGGACCTTGCTCTGGATTAGGCTTTGGCTTAAGGGAATGATGTGGCTGCTTTGATCTATCCAGACCACTCAAACTTTCTGACTCAGCAATGAGTCTCTTTTGCTTTCTTATCATTTTTCTGTTCACTGGAGTATACTTTTAATTCCCTTCAAGAACTTTTCCTTTACATTCACAATTCGGATAACTGTGCAAGAGGCCTAGCTTTTGGCTTATCTGCACTTTTGTCATGCCTTCGTCACTATGCTTAATCATATCTAGCTTTTGATTTAAAGAGAGAGATATGCCACTCTTCCTTTCACTCGGACACTTAAAGGCCATTATAGGGTTATTAACTGCCAAATTTCAACATTGCTGTGTCTTGGGGATTAGGGCAGCCTGGGGAGAGAGAGAGAGACGGGAAACAGCCAATGGGTGGAGCAATCAGAGCACACACAACATTTATCAGTTATGTTAGCAGTCTTTCATGGCCATGGTTTGTGGCATCCCCAAACAATTACAATAATAATATCAAAAATTACTGATCACAGATCATCATAACAGGTATAATAATAATGAAAAAGTTTGAAATGTTATGAGAATTATCAAAATGTGACATAGAGACACAAAGTGTCCCCATAACACTAATAAATTTGCTTGAGGAGAGTTGCCACAAACCATGAATTTGTAAAAAGCACACTATCTGTGAAGCACAATGAAGTGGGGTATGTCTGTATAAATAGGCTGGGCTTAGATCTGAGCATGGCTACTAGGTCATTTATCAGCAAATATGCATATCTATACATTCAGTCACTTCCTTCATTTCTTGAATTATATTCAATATATTTGTTTTGGTCAGGGTCTAATCAGGGAAACTGAAACCGTCCTAAGAATTTTAGTGGCTATTTAATTAAAGAAACTGATTACACAAGTATGGGAAAGCCAGAAGAATAAGAAGGGGGTGATGAACAGTAACTCCAAGAACCTGCAACCTTCTCTAGGGTTGCAGAAACAGAAGGAAAAAGGCAGTATTGCTACCTCTATCAAAAAGAGGAGGAGGGTGAGCCATGGTGTGTCTTGGAGCCCTGAGGCGGTGCCGCAGGGCTAGCGTCCACAGTTCCGAGGCATCCCTGTGCAGCTGAGACTCAGGTGTCTCAGAGGATTAGTGCAGAGCTACGTTCAAACCTTTAAGGGCAGGGCCCAGGAAGTACTCTGGTCACCATGGTGTGGCTGCTATAATCCAAGGAGGCCTGGTGAGGGCAGTGCTCACTGTCCAAAAGGTCTTGCGTGGCTGACATAGCTGATGGTGGCATTTCTGAGGAAAATGGTGCAGTTGGTGCCAAAGGACTTGGGAGGAATACTAAACACAGAAGAAAGCATGAAAAAGCCCCTTCTCTCCTCCTCCTGTTGTCCAGTTTCCTACCAGTACCTGCCACTGGTGGAACAGATCTGAAAGTCGCCTGTAACAGTGTCTTGGGGCATCAGTCCCCGTCTGGCTGTGCCTTCTCCCAAGATGTCTAGGTCCCAGCTCTGCAGGGCCTCCTCGCTAATGCTAAGTTTTGATGACGCCAAATGTTTAGCTTAGTTCCCCCAGCCTAGGGGTGATAGTTGCTTCCATCATATGTTAATCTTGGTGTTTCCTTTTCGCCTTTTCTGTCTTCCATTATCCACTTAACCAGCTGTCTATACTAAATTATTTCTGTTACTATAAATGTTACTGTTTCTGTTTTCCTGACTGGCTGCTGACTGATGCTGATCTAACTGATTCTACTGGCCTGGCTTGTACTAGTTAGATGTAATAATCACTATGGCTTGAAGGGATGTGATGTTTGACCAACGTCACCTTGTTCACATGTCAAGGTTCTCCAAGCAAATAAACAAGTGCATGCTGGGCAGACAAAAACTACAAGTCCTAATTATGCCACCCTTGCAAAACAGGCTCTTGTTATTCTCTGCCTAACTCCCCTGTTGTTTCCTTCATGAAACCTATCATAACCTGTGGTATTTTCTGTTTTCCTGTTTTTGTTTGTCCCCCTCACAAGTTAAAGCCCATGAGAGCAAGGACTGTGTCTGTCTCATTCACCACTACCAAACAGGGTCTGGCACAGTCCCAGGCTCAGAAAAGGTGTTTGGTAATTATTTGTTGAATTAATTAACAAATAAACAAACCAACCTGGAAAAAAATCATGAGATGGCTTGAGATTAGTCAGAATTACACAAAGAAGAGATAAGATGTCTTAGTCAGTTTGGCTGCTATAGCAAAAGTAGCATAGACTGGGTCGCTCACACTTCTGGAGGCTGGGAAGCCCAAGATCATGGTGCCAGCAGAATCAGTGTCTGGACAGGGCTCCCTTCCTGGTTTGCAGACAGCCATCTTCTTGTATACTCACATGGCAGAAGAAGCAAGCTCTAGTCCCTCTCTTCGTATAAGCCACTCATCCCATTGTGGAGCGCCACCATTATGACTTTATCTAAACATAATTAGCTCCCAAAGACCCTTTCTCCTAATTCCATCCCATTAGGGGTGAGGGTTTCAACATATGAATTTTGGAGGGGCACAAACATGTAGTCCATAGCAGAAGAGTAATGTGGTGTCAGAACTCCAGATCAAATATTTACATTATTATACATCTGTAACCATTTATAGTGTGTGCTACCAAAGCAAGAATAGACAATAGAACGGAACAGACAGCCCCTACAAAGATGCTAGTCTACTTAAGTGGCAGTTATGATATTAATGAAGGAATTCCTCTAGGTCCTGATGTACTACATTTAAAAATCAGTCAACTCAGAGAGGGAAAATCATCCCATAACAACTTTGTCCCATGCAATGTAGTTTCAGTGTATAAAATCACTTTTGTGCCTTTGGTAACATGTCCTTATTTAGTCAACATATATAATTATTTTTAATGAATTATACATGAATTCTACCTAATTGCCCATTTAATAAAGAAAGTCACCAGATCAGGTGCCTATGTAAGTAACTGTTCATGCTTAAAGTCGAATTCCTGGAACCCTGAAAAGTCATTTATTGAGCTGCTTCTACTTAAGACCACAAAATTTGTCCCTGGCCAGTGGGAAACTATCTTATGTTCAAAAACTATAGAAAAATAATTCATAATTCCTAGATACCCATCGAAAAGTCTACCCCATATTTAACTGTACTCATTTGCATTTTAAACCCATACTCCCCCTCTTGATGTGGAGTGTTTACCATAACAAGCTGCAAACTTTGTGTCACAAAACTGGACATTTAAAATACCCTGATTTTTAGTGATAATGTCCGACTTCAGATTTGTATGTATCTAACTCTTGTGAACCTGCTTAGGATGATATATTAAAGATACGTCTGTGACAGTTAGAAGACCACTTTAATCAATGTGATATATTCAGAGGATATAATCATTATTTCAGTTTAAAATACGAGTCTCCCTCCTGCATCAGTACTGCACAAACAAATGAGTGACATTTGTAACGTTTTTAATCCTTGCCTTCAAATGCTATGAATGTTAGAGTTCTGATTCTATATGCTAATTTTATGTTCTCAGTGCTAGGTTTATTTGGGAATGATTTTGATTAAATCTTAGCAGAACCAGACTTCCTACATAAACCTGGCATCCTAGATATTTTCCATATGGGGAACGGCTTCTTAAAAGCAAGGCAAGAAATCTATTATTTAGGGTTGATGGAGTAAGAAAAGAGCATGGAGTCAGATTTTTGCATCAGATACAGCTGGGTTCAAATCTTGGTTCTATCAATCCCTAGTTTGATCTTCAGCAGTTTCTTAAGTGCTCTGAGCTTCTGTTTATCACTTTAAACAGACTGAAGAATCAGACTAATACCATTTACTGTGCAGAACTGCTATGAGGATAAAATTACATCGTATATATAAACAAAGTACTGTTGTACTACAGTATAGTACTACAAAGTACTGTAGCATAGTGTCTGACATATACTGACTCCTTAATACAATACTAGTTCCCTTCCTTCTCTCCTAAGGACTACAAGGTATTAGATGGGTAATTCCATGCACCAAGAAATAATCAATAATGAATGATTTAAAAATATTTTGGGGAAAGGGAAAGTAGGAGGAACTTGAGTAGCATCAATACTTCACTGCAAAGCATGCATAGGAAGTCCGCTGGAAGAGCTGACCAGTGGCCAATCTGACCTGGTAGCCTGCCACCAAGGAGCATTTTGGGAGAGGCTGTAATGACACTCATTCCAACATGTCTAGCCCCTTTACTTAAATGGTACAGATTTCTGGTCCATAGACTTATCTAAACCAGTCCTGGATAGATGTATATTTTGCATTTGTCCCACTACTGTAGGTGGCAGACTCTTATAGTTTGCATGGGGTTTACAATGTGTTCCCCTAAGTTAATATTTCAAAATCTTTTCAATAAAGCTTTCTGATTTTATAAAGCTGGATACTGACACAAGTTGGCAACAGGGATGTGGGCTGATAGTCCCTTTTTGGGAGGCCCAAATACATTTCCAGTGGACACAGATGGCTTAACTATTATTCTCTCTCACTTTGTCATTTGAAACACTGATCATTTGAGAGAATCAACTCTGAACACCACTATTTACACCAATGCACCACCAACAACAGACATAACACTAATTTAAATATTCAGTTTAAAGGAAATAATTTACTTAAAGCAAAACCCAAAACCCTTGAAGACCTGAACCTGACAGTGGTCCTCACAGTTGCGGGAGTACCATGGAAAGGTCATAAATTTGGCAATAATTGAGAAAAGAATCGAGTATTATTTTAAGATAACATAATTTTAGAAAGGTAATATAGTAAGTTGGATCATGTCTCACCAAATTTATGTCCACTTGGATCCTCAGAATATGACCTTATTTGGAAAAGGGTTTTTGTAGATATAATTAGTTAAGGATCTCAAGAGGAAATTATCCTGGTTTTAAGGGTGCCCTAAATCCAATGACCGGTGTCCACACACAAGGAAGGACACAAGAAGACACAGAAAAGAAGGACATGCAAAAATGGAAACAGAGATGAGAGTAACACTGCCATAGACCAAGGAGTGCCAAAGATCACCAACAAACACCAGAAGCTAAGGGAGGTTCCAGAAGAAACTAATCCTGTTGACACCTTGATTTCAGACTTCTGGCCTCCAGAACTGTTAGAGAATGAGATTCTGCTGTCTAAGCCACCCAGTGCGTGGTGCTTTGTTATGGCAGCCCTAGGACATGAACACCAGCAGGAGGCGTATGGTAAGGTGGGAACTCTGAAGCCAGACTGTCTCAGTTCACATTTTGGTTGTCACTTTCTCATTACGTTTATGGGCTGTTGATCTTTTTTGGATTCATTTGCTCATTTGTGAAATGGAGATAAAACTAGTTCCTATATCAAAGGTTTGGCATGACAGTTAAATCAGGCAGTTAATGCTCAATAAATATTGCCAAAAGACAAAATGACAACAAATTTAGTTTAAAGATCTTAATTGGCTTTTATTTGCAATTCTAGAGTTGAGAAACACCTCGATGTGTTCCAGTGAGCTGAGCAGAAGTGGCTGGCTTTATAGACAGAAAAGGAAAACAGAAACAGGGAACAAAAAGTCATTTCACAGTTACTTTCCTTGTAAAGGTTAAATCAGATGGGACTTTCTTATCATGCCAGCTAAAATTGGCTCATTTGGGGGTTTGGCTATTTATTATCCCTCTCTCTCCTGATTTCTTGGAAGGTCAAATAGACAACTTCATTTCAGCTTGGTGGCCATGAAACTTTAGCGTGAGTGACTCCATTTTGGTCTGGTCTGTTGGGCCTAGCGCAGGAGCTCCGTTCAAACCAATGACTTCCTATAAATTTTATTTAACAACACTCATTATGATTTACAGACTGTGTTTCTATGTCCCTGTATTTCAAAAGCATATTATTTCTGCCTTCTCCTTACTTCATGGGAGGATTTGTGACAATGGACACAAACTAATATTTTTATAAACATGGTGAATATGACTAAACCTTTGTTTCTATTATTACTATCCTTTCATGTCTACTTAGGGTTCAACAACTAAGGGAAATCACAGCCTTTATGGTAAAACTCATGCATTTTTTGTGTGACAGTTGTAACCAAATGCTGATTCACATGATATGTATTTAAACGTGTTGCTACGATTAACAGATAGTTGATGAATACTATTTAATTAATAAATCAGAAGCCTTATTTTGGAGTTTTAGAAAAATAAAAGTTAGAAAATGCATAGCTAGTTCCAGAAATAAAATACCTGTGAAATGATGATAAATAAAAATGCCTTCCACTTCCTTTCATTTCATTCTATAGTCTTGGTTCTATCTCTGAGTCTGGAATCTGCTCATTTGAAATTTTCCATTGTGATAAGGTGAGCAGGTCCTGGCTGCTCCACCTACTGGTGTTACTTGATAGAAATCATGAAACTTCTCTCAGCAACTGCTTCTTCATTGGAAACATAAGGAAACGCGTAGGCTCTACCTTACAGATCTCTGAGGAACTCAGCTAACAGGACACAAGTAAAGAAAGAACTGTAGCATGAGCACATGGTGACTGTTCAATAACTTTCTGAAAAAGTTGTTCTTATCTCCAAGACATATTACCCTGAATTTCTTTGATTTTAATTACCTTAACATGAAAGCTCTCATCACAAGCCACAACTTAGATTATACATCTAACAACTAGCACCAAAAACAAGCAAATCATTGGAAAATATCTCTGCAGAAAGGACTACATAATTAAAGAACAATCTGTGAAGATCTGTAGTTTTTTTTAAATTTTTTTTCAACTTGAAGGTGAAACTGTACATCTATGCTTTGCCAACTGACTACTTTCTGGGGCTGATTTGAGTCATGTGCACACACTGGTCCCCAGACACACAAAACAGAATCAAGGCCTTGGCTTACAGTGACATTGCATCTGTAAGAGCCATGTAAATACCTGCTACTTGGTATCTTCTACATCTTAGATATTTATTTTTATTCTAAAGCCAACCTACATATCCATAACTGCACAGCAACCATTTATACATCTCTATATTTGTGATTTTGATTTTTAGGCAACACTTACCATCTATTTTTTTTGCTATCAATCTCATCACAAAAGGTATAATCACATGTATTTTGTATATTGGAAAGTAAATTTACCAATATTAACTTTAGGTAGAAGATGTCAGAAAATCCTTTTAATATTATTTTTGACCTTTATTTTCACCAACAGCAATAGGTTAGTGTCCATTAAAAAGATGAGCTTTACAAAAGTGCAAGGTTTCAAAAATTATTTGAGAAGTCAGATCTCAGGGAAAATGCAGGAAAAGAAGGGATGGCCAGAGGTTCAGGAAGAGGGACACCCATTGGCCATGCCTTCAAGAAGTTCTTGTTCTGGTTTGCTGACATGAAAGCTATGTCAAGGAAACTGCCTTCTAGTGATGAAAAGATTCATTTAGACAATGGCATTTGTGACGGATTTGTCTTATGTTCAGCATGACCAGTGAGAAGCAGAGGGATTTGGGGAATGGTGGACAACAGGTGGGAAAAAGGGGGCAATTGAAGGAAAAGCTTTTAAGTGACTCCAATAAAGTATGTACCAAAAGATGGTCCTTTTGTCAGGAAAATGCTAATAAGGGATTACACTACAGACTCTCAATGGGAGTGTAAAGAGGAGTTGTGTGGGCAAATTTGGAGGGGGTTGTAGTCTAGAAAGCATATTCAAATACTTGCCATTTTTATAATACAGTTCAAAAATTGCAGAAATTAATGCAACTGCAATAAAAACATTACAAAAATATTTAGAGTGGTATTATTACTGAAAATAGAAATCTATAGATGATATAGGTTTAGCAGATTGAAAAATGCTGCCTTCATAAACAGTTTCTTCTGAATAGATGCCTTCTTATTTATACAATAGTTTTTAGCTATTCAATATATTTAACCTCCAAATCAGTGATCCTCAACCTTTTTGGTACCAGGGACCGGTTTCGTGGAAGACAATTTTTCCACAGGACAGGGCTGGCGGGGGAATGGTTTCAGGATAAAAGTGGTCCACCTCAGATCATCAGGCATTAGTTAGATTCTCATAAGGAGCACGCAACCTAGATCTCCTGCACGCACAGTTCATAATAGGGTTAGTGCTCCTATAAGAATCTAATGCTTACGCCGATCTGACAGGAGGTAGAGCTCCGGCGGTAATGCTCACTCACCTCCCATTGTGTGGCCTGGTTCCCAACAGGCCACAGACCAGTACCAGTCAGTGGCCCAGGGGTTGGGAACCCCTGCCCTATGAAGGCACTGATTGCTTTTAGGCATTTTGCTATTTCTATGAATTATGTATATTAGGCAATTTAATCACAGTTATAGCTAGGTGCATTCAACTCACCTGAGTATAGCATGAACTAACTCCACACACACACAGACACATGCACACACACACACACATACATACACACACAGAGAGACTTGCATACACATACAAATTATGAAGGACTCCATGTTTGTCCAGCAATAAAAGGCTTATTATTATTATCTGTTTCATTAACTTTTTATTTTCTATATGGACTTCCAAGAATTTCTGGTTCCCCGCTAGTGCCATCACCCCACAAGTCACCCCAACCTGCCAGACTAAATATGGGATCTTCTCTAAACCAATAAGGCTGAGATAATAAGAAGCAACAGCTTGCTTTATCCTCATTCTCTGAGAAGCTCAGCCTTCTGGGAAGAGATGAGTAGCCACCCCCTCTAATCGCAGAAGGTGTTGAATCTAGAATCTAGTTGTCCTTACAGAAAAATCAAGTGTCCAGATAAAGACTCCCTTACCTGTCTTCTTTGTAAATGTTCCCAATTTCTGGTAAATGCAGAGGGTTCCTCTTGGGCCTCTTTCATGGGTCCCAGGTAATATTGGTAAAATTAAGTATAAAATAAAACAAACACAGACAGATAATTTATATCTTACAGACCGTCACTGAAAGGACTACTAAAGGAAAGTTTTGTGTTCTAGCACTAGGGACTCTGACTAACCTTCCTCCTGAAAGCAAGTGCTCCATAAAATATAAAAACACATCCTCATAAATGCTTCAATAAATTGACAATAAAGAAGGCAAAAAGTTTAAGTGATGTGAGAAACCTAGAGAATAAGCAGCATACTGAATTTGGCTTTGGCTCTCAGGACATTCGCAAAATCCTAGTGACCTTAATCTTTCCTTTTACTGACCTTGTGGAGCTCATGGAGGGCAGAAGACAAGATCAGAGCCATTTGAGGGTAGGGGCAGACTGGGGATGGAGAATCTCAGAAGAGTTTCTCCAATAAAATTAGGTCCACAAAGGTTTCAGTTTAAGGGTGAACTAGAAATAAGCTTCTGTATCCCCAGTAGATCGCAAATAAAATTGTCTGGCTTGAAATTCAGTGATAAATAAGAGGTGATAAAAATTTCCTTTGAGAATTCCTAACTATAAACCAGATTCACACCAGTTTTTAGTCTGAACTCACAATATAGGATGATGTGAAAAATTTCAAGCCAAGAAGTTAGATTAAAATTGTAGGGAGAAGTATGTCTCTAGGACACTCGGGCAAAAGAAACACAAATACCTAAATACCTTCTAAAGAAACCCACCTTCACCCAAGGATTCAAAGAATTCCTCAGATAAAGATCCAAGCCCACAATTAAAAAAAAACACACAAAAAATCAGGAAATATGTCAACATGAGTGAGACCAAGAACCAATAGCAGATTTAAAGGAGGAAAGACTTCAGAAAAGACAAACACACAAAATACTCTAGTTAAAAGACAAACATTATCAGAGTGGATTTCAAAATAAATCCAACCATATGTTGTGTATAAGAAGCACACCTGAAACAAAAGAATACAGACAGGGTGAAAGTGAAAGACAGCCAACTGGAAGTCATCTCCACCCTCATTGTTCCCTGACTCCTATCATCTATCAGAGACATGATGACCCCTTGCTCTTTGTCTCTTTCCTTTGGTTATATTACAGTTTTCTTTTTTGCCTTCCTTAACAATCCCTTGGACTTTTCCAGTGGTCCTTCTTCCTCCTCAGACTTCTAAGCATTCCTCTAGCGAAGTGCTACGCTATTTGTTCTATTCCCTGGAGGGTCTCAAAGGGTGTCCCCTGACTACCTGCATTAAAATCATTTTGGCTATTTGTAAAAACAGAATTTCCTGGGCGATTAGCCAGACATTCTGATTTTTAGATTTGGGAAAGGATCTAAGAATTGCATTTTTAACAAGCTCCACCAGTAATTATTATATACTCCAAAGTTTGAAGACCTTTTTTTTATTGTAGTTTTTATTTTTCAGACAGGATCTCACTCTGTCACCCCGGCTAGAGTGCAGTGGTGTGATCTCAGCTCACTGCACCCTCCGCGTCCTGGGCTCAAGCAATCCTTCCACCTCAGCCTCCAGAGTAGCTGGTACTACAGGCATGTGCCACCACGCCCGGTTAACATTGTATTTTTAGTGGAGATAGAGTTTCACCATGTTGCCCAGACTGGCCTCGAATTCCTGGGCTCAAGCCATCCACCTGCCTCAGCCTCCCAAAGTGTTAGGATTACAGGTGTGAGCCACTGCACCCGGCTTGAAGATAATTTAATGTATTCTTTCTTTCAAAATATTCATGTTTTCATGTTTCATGGCTTTAATAGTTGTTAATACTTTATTTTAGTATTTTCCCCTGTCCTCTCATCTAAATTACAGTTCTGTACTTTAGGTGGCACTTCTAAGGTATTTGTCAACTTGATGTCAATTGGACCATCAATCACATTAGTTAAAATTAAGAAATTATGTATAGCTCATCCTTTCATTAATAAATCCAATTCATTACAACTCATATTCTTGTCCTGTAAAATATCCTTAAGTTCCTTTTGCTCTGTATTGCTGTCTCTTTAGTACGACCCTCATTACTTTATGTATGGATTTTTATAACTAGTTTTTCTATTCAAATGTTCTAGTCCTACAATCCATCTAGGACACTGCTGCCAGAATAATTTTCCTTAAATATCACTTTCACCATATCACACTGATGCTAAATATCTTCATATCATTCCTTAGTTCCTTAATAATCAAATTTAAACTTGCCTGTCATGTTTTTGAACTTCAGAATCCACTCCACTCAATGTGCCTTCCCATCATCCAGTAGTCCATACTCTCTACGTCAGACATGCTGCTCTCCTGCTGTCATGAATGCATGAAGCGAGTATGACAACAAAGCACAACTCATGGCAGGCAATCACAGAGTGACTTTTTTTTTTAATTTATATTTATGTTGTGCAGCTAGCTGTTTTTCCCCCATTCCTAAGTGAAAATTTAGGAAGCTCCTATGCCTTCCACAGCTGCCATCAACCAATTAAAATTCCTAGTTATTATCAGTGATGAAACAGTCTCAATTTAATACTGATATTAGAGGTGCTTGAACCAGAGTGACTCCATCTTGAATAGGGGCTGGGTAAAATGAGGCTGAGACCTATTGGGCTGCATTCCCAGGAGGTTAGGCATTCTTAGTCACAAGATGAGATAGGAGGTCAGCACAAGATACCAGTCACAAAGACTCTGCTGATAAACAGGATGCCATAAAGAAGCAGGCCAAAACCCACCAAGACCAAGAAGGCAATGAAAGCAACCTATGATCATCTTCTCTGCTCATTATATGCTAATTATAATGCATTAGCATGCTAAGAGGCACTCCCATCAGCTATGACAGTTTACAAATGCCATGGCCACATCAGGAAGTTACTCTATATAGTCTAAAAGGAAGAGAAATCCTCAATTTGGAGAATTTCCTGCCCCTTTCCCAGAAAACTCAGAAATAATCCATGCCTTGTTTGGCATATAATCAAGAAATAACCATAAAAATAGCCAACCAGCCACCCTCAGGGCTGCTCTGCCTATTTTATTCCTTTACTTTCTTAATAAACTTGCTTTCACTTTACTCTATGGACTTACCCTGAATTCATTCTTGCGTGAGGTCCAAGAACCCTCTCTTGGGGTCTAGACCAGGACCAGCATTCCAGTAACACTGTCACATACATAATGACATTTTGGTCAACAACGGCCCATGCACTTACGATGGTGGTCCCATAAGATTATAATGGAGCTAAAAAATTCCTGTTACTTAATAATGTCATAATAGTCCTAATGTCATAATGTAATGCATTACTCATCTGCTTGTGGTTATGATGTAAATATACCTACTGCACTGTCAGTTGTATAAAAGTATGGCACATGCTTATGTACATAAGTACATAATTAAGCATATGATACTTGATAATGATAATAAATGGCCATATTACTGGTTTATGTATTTATTATATCATACTTTTTATTATTTTAGAGTGCTTTTCTACTGATTGAAAAAAGAAGTTAATTGTAGAACAGCCACAGACAGGTCCTTCAGGAGATATTTCAGAATGCATTGCTATCATAGGAGATGACAGCTCCATGTGTGTTACTGGCTCTGAAGACCTTCCAGCGGACAAGATGTGGAGGTGGAAGACAGTGGTATTCATGCTCTTGACCCTGTGTAGGCCTAGGCTAATGTGTGCGTTTGTGTCTCATTTTTAATTAAAAAGTTTAAAAAGTTAAAAAAAATTAAAAACAAAGAAAAGCTTATACAATAAGGATACAAAGAAAGAAAATATGGTTGTACAACTATACAATGTGTTTGTCTTTCAAGCTAAGTGTTACTACAAAAAGTCAAAAACTTAAAAAAATTAAAGTTTATAAAGTTAAAAAATTATCATAAGCTGAGGTTAATTTATTTTTGAAGAAAAAATTTAAAGAAATTTGATGTAGCCTAAGTGTAGTATTTCTAAAGTCTACAGTAGTGTACAGTAATGTCCTACATCTTCACATTAATTCACCACTCACTGTCTCACCCAGAACACCTTCCAGTCCTGCGAGCTTTATTCATAATCAGTGCCCTATACAGGTGTACCATTTTAAATCTTTAATATTCCCTTTTTACTCTACCTTTACTATGTTTAGATATACAAATTCTTACCATAGTGAAACAGTTGCCTATAGTAGTCAATGCGGTAACATGCTGCATAGGTTTGTAGCCTAGGAGCAATAGGCTATACCATATAGCCTAGGTGTGTACTGGGCTATGCCATCTAGATTTATGTAAGTACACTTTATGATGTTCACACAACAACGAAATCACCAAATGATGCATGTCTCAGAATGTATCCCCATCTTTGAGCAATGCATGACTAAAATTAAATATAAAGGACCACATAATAATCCAAATTCTAAACTTACTTTTAAGTTTGGAGGAGCACAGGCTACAGGTCAGAAGTAGTTGGCTTCTCTCTTTCCTTATCTAGTAGTTGTTTTCTTCCTTCATCTTTTTGTTAAACTAAATCTCTGAATCATCCAGGATTAAAGCAAGGGAGAAGAGGAGGAGAGAGGCCCAGAAATGTTCTTTCTTGACAAGCGCTAGTAAAATAATCTAACATCAACGAACCTTTGGCCTGCGAAGTTGTTTAAAACTCACTTTCTCATATAGGTGCTTTCATGGCCTTTTTGGTGAATGCTTCTGACTCTGGCTTTTTTGGAGAAGGCTAACCTCTACTTGAAGTGCCTTAGCAGAGGTAAAAACATCTCTAAACTGTTCATTACTTCCTTGTCTGCTGAAAAGTTGACAGCACTCAGAATTTCTACCTCTGGACTATAGAGTCCTAATTAGGGAAAAGGAGCCAGGCTGGTGGGAGCAGGGAAAAGCAAAAAGAAAAAGCAGGTAAGCTATAAGTCTGCCTTTCTTCATAGTCCAGGACACGTAGCACTCTTGTGCAAATAATTCACAATCTTTCTGAGCCCAGCTATCACCAGACCCTTGGATGAGAGTAAAATGCAGGTTAGTTCACTGCAACCTTGGTGTTATCAGTACTGCACAAAGCCTTCTTTAGCACATCACACAAAATCCCCAGCAAGCTTTTGTCTCCTTACAGTCAGCTCCTTTCTTGCTGACCTGCCCATTGTACACTTGCAATGTATTTTCATACTTTCTTGAATAATCCTGCCTTTCTTTACCTACAAACTGTCTTGGTAAATTCTTCTTACTGCTCATGCCACTGGCCCCAGATGGTTGCTGATCACTTGCAGTATGGCCCTTTCTGGACAGGGCTTAAAAACAACTCTATACTAGCTCTCCCTCAAAAATGATCCATATTCAGAAGAAAAACTTAAATACTCTTTGCACCTACAAACTCCTGGAATGTAGTGTGTCTCCACTTAAGAAACTTCTCCTTTATTCTGTCAGTCTTTCCTTTCTTCAGATTTCTCAGGTGAGAATCAGACATGAGCCTACAGTTAGCCAGCAGACTGCAGGGAATACATAGTAAGTTCTCTGAGTAGCTGGTAAGGTGCTGGTACCCCATTCTGGTACCCACAAATCAACAGCAGCTCTCTCCAAATTATCAACATTTTATACCATTGACAAGGTGGATCTCCTTTGTAAATCTTGCATAAAGTCTCTGTGGAATGTAGAATTTGTATGTATCTTAGTTTCTCAGTCCAAACTTATATTTTAATTTCTCATTACAAATGCTTAATAATTTCTATCTTCATGTGTGTTGTTTTCCTCTCTGGAATCTATCTATTCTTTCCCAACTCGCTTATCCAAATCTGAGCTATCCTGCAAGGTTGTGCTCAAGTTCCATCTTATTTATGCTCTCTTGCCTGACTGTTTTAGATTTTCCAGCATTGTCTTTGGAAGCCCTACACTAGTTGCAGAAGTTACTATAATCAATACATAAAGTTTGCCCTTAGCATTTCTTTTTCATGAAAGAAATACAGGCACCTTCATGAGACAGTGACTCTGTGGCCTACAAACTTAATTGTACTTGAAATACAAAAATATCTTTGAAAAATGTGCTGATCCAAAAGGTGGCTTATAAGTTTAAGAAAAGTGGGACAAAGAGAGGCAAATGTTAGGCATGGACATCTAGGTTCATTAAATTTCTTTGAATGAACACTCATCACTTAGAAAAGAAGGGAAGTATTAGGATAAAGCTTGTTGTTCTATATTATATATGCTGAATATTTCAAACATTCACTTTTTTAAACATTTATATATAAACAGGAGCTAGAAAACCTATTTACTTGAATCTAACTTTTTTTTCAACTTTATTGAGTATAACTGACTAGTAATTGTATATTTGAATCCAACATGCTTAAATAAACTAAGCTCTCTATTAGAAGTTGAGGGGCTAGAAAACATGTAACTCCCATATTTGTTATTAATTGTTTACTATATATAAATATGCATATATGTAATATATGTGTGTATCATAATTCATGTTATTTATTAATAATAAATAATAAAATCATAAATAAAATGAATAACTCTCTTTGCCTATATATTGGTCAGAGTAAAATTTATGACACTATATTTTAATACTTTAAAGTACAGTGATTATTTAGCTCACATTTTTCATGACACTTGCAAATGGTAATTAACCACCAGTGCAGGGACAAACATTAACTTTAAAAAACGTCATTAATTAACTTACAGAGCACTGGTTATTTTCTATTTTAATGACTGCTTGGATTTATACATACCAATTATCATATATAATGTTTGTCTATGCTCTTCACCTTGTCACTTTTTATTTAAATAGAGGAAACTGTTGTAATCAAAAAATGTTTTGAACAGATGCAGTACTAAGTGAACTTAAAGATATATATATACGTACATAATCATGCTCTTCTACTAACTAAGCAATACTGACTTTCAGAATAAAATATCCTGGAAAATGGAATTTTTAACCAAGGTAGCAATTCATAATTAGAAAATAATCAGTAAATCATTACTAAAATTATAAGCCATGAAATAGTTAGCAACAAAAATAAGCACAAAATCATGACCTTCAACAGATACGGAGTTTAAAAGTGAGGTTCTCTCACAAACAGATACAAACCAAAAGCTACAGGATATCAATACCATTTTCTTCTTAGTTGTAGATATTTATGAAGTATCTCCTATATTCAGTTTGTGAGAATATAAAAACTTATTTACCAAATAGATTACACTGTGCTATTTATTTTGCACACAAATCTTAGCGACTAAGTAGTATTGGCTGAAAAAACTAGAATGGATTTGAAATTCTATCTCATATTGAGAATTTTAAAAAATTCTTAAGAAAAAAATGTACCTGTTTTGGAAAAGTCCACTGAGTTCTACTTACTCAATTGGAAAGAGTAAATAAAATTCAACAGATAATTTGGTGTTTAGGTAGTCTTATAAAGAAATTCCTGTCACAATGAGAGGTCATTTTTCTATCTTATTTAGTTGAATCAGTAGAACCTATATTTATCTTAGCTTCATCTTTAGTGTTTTTTTTTAAGTCATAATTATGAAACAAGCCTTGAAATGGAAGTGCAAGAAGTAAATTCAAGTGTCAGGTTTACTACTGTGTCTTTGAGTAAGTCACTAAGAATTTTAGAGTCTTCAGTCTCTTAATCTGCAAATGAACATAAAAATATTTGCCATGTTTATCCCATGTAATTAATGTAAGACTCAAATAGGCAATATTACATATGGAAAAGACACTGAAAACTATTATTATCTGAGACAGAGCAGCACAGGAACAGATCACAGGTTTAGAATGGGATTCAAGTCCAATGCCACCATCACCAACAGTGTACCTTTAGATAAGTCATCAAATCCCTTCCAGCCTCAATTTCTTCCTCCACTAAATGAGGCAGCTAATTTGTAAGGTTCTTTCCATCTTTATAAGTCTGTGATCTGGTACGAGAAACCTAATGAAGAAATTCTCTAACATGCTTTTGTTTCCTATGAAAGTAACGTACACTGATTAGGTGCTCATGATTAATTTTAGACTCTGTCTTGCAAATAAGAGAAAGTCATCATTTATTTGGCAGGAACAGGCTCACATCCCTTATGAAATGAGGTGTGGTATTAATTTATTAACTGTATACCAGAATGTTCAACGTTAAATGTAGGAAGGTGGCGTTTGTGAAGAATTACAAGAATCATTACATGGTATAAAATCTGAGCATAAAACTAACATTGGAAAAGAATCTGCCCTTGAAATACAGAAAACAAGTCTGTACTACATTACTTACAGTCTATGTTAAAATCACACACCCCATACAAACAAAAGATTACAACTAAACACTGAGGAACAGCTGCCCTTGTCTGGCAGTTTGATATCCTTTCAATTACTTGTTTTTCTGTAGTGCTAAACTTGGATTTTGTGTACACCACAACTAAACATAGAACAGACAAAGGCTAAGCCACATAAGCTTGTTGCTGTAAGTGCTACAAGAGCAGGGATTCTTGTCTGTTTTATTCACTGATGTATCCCAAACACCTAGAACACGGCCTGCTGCATCATAAGCACTGAATAAATATGTATTGAACAGATGAACTGGCTTCCATTTATTCCTTGAATAGATAAGCTACATTCTGTTTATGACTTTTATTGATTTGCATTTATATCATTAACATGCTTCTATAGAAAAAGAGATAAACCACAAGATTTAACCAATGGTTGCCTGAATAAAAGAGATAGTTTGGGATGAAAATAAATGACCAGCACAAAAGCTTGAAACCTGCCTGTTGCCTTAAAATGATCTGAATTCCTCAAACCTCAAACCTTGGCATTATGCATTATACCCAGGTAACTTCACCTGCACATGTATCCCCTGAATCTAAAATAAAAGTTGAAAAAAAAGTAGTTTCTTCCAGTGTAAAACTACAGAATAAATAGGACAAACCCCAAAGCTAAAGAACTGCTCTTTTAATGTTACTAAAGAGAGCACTTCAAACGATGGAGGAAGAAATCTACATATAATTCACAAAATGGGATTAAAAATACATGAAAAAAGAGCTATTAATAAATATGTCTCTTGTGTTTCTTCCCGTTAAAACTCAAAACAGTGTGGTCTGCCTTGTGCCCACATCAAAGAAAGCCAGTGAACTAAGAATAAGAGAAATGAAGGCTCAACTCAGTATCTCTCTCGTGGCGCCTAAACACATTTTACAAAAATGTTCTTTGAACCAGCAACAAACCCAGAAAACTAGAAACAGAACAGGAAGATAAACCCACAAGAGAAAACAACCATGACATCGCCACACCCCCTTCTAGTTTTCTCCAAAACATTTTTCATACCAGATGAACACAGTAAGTCAAACAGCTCTATTTTTAAATGCATGAGTCTTGGTTGTGGCATAATAGATCAATGAGAAATCTTTTGTCTTCAGGAAAACACAAGCCTATAACAGAAAGCATGTAAGTTTATAAAATAGCATGTCTGATAAAGAAAGCATCAAAATGAAAGAATGAATGAACCAGTGTGCAAATGAAATCTCTAAGAGAGAATTCTAGAGTAATTCAGGAAGAAGTAGCAATGTATAAATGGGCTCATCAATTCTCAATCTTCTTCTCATATGACATAACATCTCAACCTGCCTATATAAGAACTTAGGATAAAAAGGAAGAAGGAAAATTAAAAGGTGTTGAGACTAGCTTGAACAATTCCCATTGTCAAGGCCAGACAGGTATTCTGGAAGAGAATAGAAAAATCCAGAGACAAAGGGAGGTAACAAAAAGTAAAGTGCCAGCACAGGTAGGCTGGAGAGAAAGTCTAGGGAGAGTTTTGAGGAAACGTGGGGATAGGCCATAGAGTCACTTACCATGCTGTGATTCAGAAAGAGGATTTTAAATAAAGTTTTGCTCCATATATCAATGAAACTCCCATGAAATTTTTAAGAGGCTGTAGGAAGGATTTAAGTTACTTTTGCAATATTTCTAGATGTTATTTATTCATTTATTCCACAAATATATGATGGGGGCACTTTCTTAGGACTGTGTTTACACTGGCAGCCTCTGTAGAGATCGGCCATATGATGGGAGCAAGAAAGTCCAGCTTTATGTAGATTCCTGAAAGAAAATATCCAGAAGAGGAAGACTACAGTTGAGCCTTGAATAACATGGGTTTGAATTGCGTGAGTCCACTTATACACAGATAGTTTTCAATAACAGTTACAAGTATGCCTGCCTCTCCTGCCTGCCCTTTCCTCCGTCTCTACCACCTCCGACACCCACGAGACCGAAAGACCAACCCTTCTCCTTCCTCTTCCTCCTCGGCCATCTCAACATGAAGATGATGAGGATGAAGACCTTTACTTAATGAATAGTAAATATATTTTCTCTTCTTGATGATTTCCTTAATAATAACTTCCCATCTCTAGCTAACTTTATTGTAAGAATACAGTATATAATACATAAAACACACAAAAGATGTGTTAACCCACTATTTATGTTATGGGTAAGACTTCCAGTCAGTGATAGGCTATTAGCAGTTAAGTTTTGGGGGAGTCAGAAGTTATGCACAGATTTTTAACTATGTGGAGGGTTAGCATCTCTACCCTCTGCATTGTTCAAGAATCAACTGTATATTCTAATACTGCTTCTTGTTCTATTATTTGAGAACATCCTTGTATAGAAAATGTGTTACAGTCATTATGGAAAACAGTATGGAGGTTCCTTTAAAAGTTAAAAATAGAACTAAAATATGATCCAGAAAGTCTACTTCTGAGTATATATCCAAAGGAAAAAAAATCAGTATGTCAAAGATATATTTACACTAGTATGTTCATTGCAGCATTATTCACAATAGCCAAGATATAGAATCAACCAAAGGGTCCATCCATAGATAAATGGATAATGAAAATGTAGTATATATACACAATAGAGTACTATTAAGCCTTAAAACAGGACAGCCTATCATTTGTGACAATAATGGATGAACCTCAAGAACATTATGCTAAATAAATAAGCCAGGCACAGAAAGACAAATACTGCATGGTCTCACTTTTACATGTGGCATTTAGAAATACTGAACTCATAGAAACAGAGAGTAGAATGGTGGTTGCCAAGGGCTGGGGTAATTGGAGATGTTGCCCAAAGGTTACAAAGGTTCAGTTAGACAGGATGAGTAAGTTCTGAAGATCTACTTTATAGCATTAATAATAATGTATTAATAATAATATGTTCTATACTTGAAAATTACTAAGAGAGTAGGTCTTAAATATTCTCACCACAAAAAATTCTAAGTGTGAGAGGTGATGGTTATGTTAACCAGCTTGATTTAATCGCTTCACAATATACATACATCAAAACACCACCTTGTACGCCATAATTATATACAATGTGTTTTCAGTTGCTGTCAACCAACAGATGAACTTTCAGAACTCAACCATTCAACTTAGCAGCTGCCTGTTCACCGGACAACTTTTTCCCATAGCTAGTCACGATGCTTTTTCATTCTCTTCTAAAGGTTAAAGTAAAGCACTACCAGTCCTCATGAATTTCTCATGAGTTATGATTAAGTGCGACCAAATTCCAAGCACTATTTGACTGAGAAATGTCTTCAATCTAAATACACGGGTATCAAAACCGCCAACAATAAGAACCCAAGGCTATTTCCATATAAATTTGGTCTTTGCTTAAAAATAAAATTCCATGAAAGTTCCCTAAGATAATCACCCACACAGAGTGTTTTCCATGATTAACAATGGCATTTGTGCTATAGTCGCTGCCAGGAAGGGAAGCATGAGTCTGGCTTCGGCCAGGACAGCAAGAGAGATCTCCTCTAAAAACAGAATACAGTATAACTCATTCTTCCAGATCTTCCAGGGAAAACTGAATGACGAGTGTGTGAATGTCTTTTTAAAACAATCTGTTAAATGCTTTTAGATCCTGTGCCCTGATTACTGGCTGACCTATATATTTTTGGCAATGCTAGTGCCCTAGAGGGCCTGACAATTTGATAGGCAGTTAAGTCCTCAGTTAAGATGAATTTTGAAAAAGCTGAGATTAAACAGACTAATTTCCCGCAAAAGTATTTTCTTCTGATCTTTGAAATGTTAAAGGGGCCACATCAGTGTATTATTTTGAGCAAGGAAAGTTTTGCCTTACAAAGACTGCCAGTATAAACAACTAATCCCTGGCCAGTTGCACAAGCCAGACAAGGCACAGTTTCCAGGCAGAAGCAGCGGCTCTCTACCTAATGGGGCTGGGTGAGAGGGCACACTCACATAGCACATTAGATTTCCTGTGTAAATTATCATTTGTTTCTACCGTATATGGCTATTACAAAGCATGTTGTGAAGATCCAATAAGACAATGTACAGAAAATGTCTAGTGTAGCATCTGACATTATCATTACCATTACAATAGAAACACATTCTACCCACTGTTTGGATCAGGTGGAAAAATGCAAAAGAAAAAAATTCTTTTTTTTTTCTTTTTTTGCAGCCTCATTTTTGGACCAGAGTATCTCTAAGTATCTCAAAAGTATTGTAATGTCATATTATATTTTTGAAATGTTTTATTTTCTTATAATCAAATATTTAAACCAATATTTTGTTAGCAACAAGCTAATGAATAGAAAATGGAAGGTAACTTCTTAAATATTCATGATTTCTAAAAGACAGCTTGCCCACTGGGATTCTTTGGCAGATATGCAATTACCATTGTAGAGAACTAAAAGGAGCTTTAGGTATCATTTTTAAAACAAGGAAACTAAAACCCAAAGAGACTAAGGGAATGCCAGACCTAGTACAAAAAAAAAGGATCTACTTTGGACGCCTGTAAAAATGTCTTTGCACTAATCTTAGCTATTAATACATCCAAATGAGGCTCAGTCACCCTCGAGTCACCCTCAGATGGCATGATCATACAAATAAGGGGAAATTAACATTTGCAAGGTAAATACTGGCCAACCGTTTCTACATAAATTACTGTCTTTAGTTCTCTCACAAAAACTTTGCAACATAGATATTATCAGTGTTACTTTTTTGTTTTTTTTTTGGAGACAGGGTTTTGCTCTGTCACTCAGGCTGGAGGACAGTGGCCTGATCATAGCTTCATATCTCACTGCAGCCTCAAACTCCTGGCCTCGAGCCATCCTCCCACCTCAGCCTCCCAAGTAGCTGGGATTACAGGAGTCAGCCACAGAGCCCAGATAACAGTACTTTTTTTTTTCTTTTTTTTAGACGGAGTCTCTCTGTCACCCAGGCTGGAGGGCAGTGGCGTGATCTCAGCTCACTGCAACCTCGGTTTCCCAGGTACAAGGAATTCTCTGCCTCAGCCTCCTGAGAACCTGAGATTACAGGCGCCCACCACCACGTCCGGCTAATTTTTTTTTTTTTTAATAGAACCAGGGTTTCACCATCTTGGCCAGGCTAGTCTTGAACTCCTGACCTCTTGATCCACCCACCTCGGCCCCCCAAAGTGCTGGGATTACAGGTGTGAGCCACCGCACCCAGTCAACACCAATTTTAAGGTAAGGACAGTGAGGCCAATAAAGACCACAAGATCAGTAGTAGGCAAAGCTGGGACTCAGATCCAGGTCTAACCCACTACAAAGCCTCAGCCATTTTCAATATACTTCAGCATCTGCTAGAAGGTTAAGTGAGTCCTGCAACACCCCCATTATTGAAAAAAAGTCACTTTTTCTAATTTTCTGGCTGTTAAGTAGTTAAGCAGAAACTTTATAGCCAAAGGATGAAAACTGTTCCAAGATCACATACCTGTGGTGGAGTCAATGGTAAAAAGGGACGACACGTTTCCTGGAATAAGCTCATAAGCCACTGTCCCATATATCCCAGAGTCCTGGTCAGTGGCAAGAACATTGATGATCTCGGTGCCTGGCTGGGTCTCATCACTGATGCTCGTCACATAGGTTGATGGGTTAAACACAGGATGATTATCATTCACGTCCTCCAGGTCCACACGAACAAAGGCTTGGGCACTTAGCCCACCCTGGTGGATGAATGAGTGGTGATTACAAATGGGTTTTTGCTGAACACTAGGATGTAGAATAATTGACAATGGCCCTACAATAGTCTTGAAACAACAGAATTTGAATATGTGGGGGTTTGTATATGTATATGTGTGTATACACATATACACACACCCCCATACATACACATTTTGTCATTTCAAAAGAGTGTGTATATATACACACACACACAGACACACACACACACAAACACGTCTTTATATTCATTTTATTTTCAACTTTGATGTATGAATTCATAGGTAACAGCATGGTATGTACACTTCACTGCTGATTCTTAAGCATGGAATGAGATTTCCACTTAGAGCAGCTGTGAGGCAAAAATTTCAGAGTAGAGGCCAAATACATTCAAGGAAATTTGTCCTGATGTCCAAAAAGAAATCAAAATCACTTTTATCCCTAAGATAATTTTTAAGTGAATGCTGGTAAGTGCTAAGAAGAAGGTGTGAGGGAGCATGGGCAGGGGGGTGCCCTGGTGAAGCCTTCACTAGGAAGGTACCATTGGTGTGCAGACCAACCCACATGAGGCAGCTAGACTTCAGTTACCAGAAAGGAAAGAATAACAGGCAGAGGAAAGAGCAGAGCCAAAGGCCCTAAGGCAGGAACGTGGTGTACCTCTCAGGCCTGCTCAGCCGCAGCAAGGAAGCAGGAAGGGCTGAGCTCAGAGAGGCAGGAGTGAGTCCTAGGGACCTCTGCAGGTCTCTGGAAGGACATGGTTCTTCCTCACAGGAGGGCTTTGAGCACAAGAGTGGCCTGATTTCACTGAGATGTTAACACTGCTCTAGCTGCAGTGTTCAGAACAGACCGAAGAGCAGCAGGGTGGAAGGAGGGAGAACGGGCAGGAGGAGGCTCTTTGAATCAAGTCCAGAGTGGATGGGGCCTGAAGGAGGACAGGAGCAGTGCAGGTACTCATCCCAGATCCTGGGGGCCAGATTTGTTTGGGAATTCTGAATTTTTCAAGTTTTAGAAGGGAATGCAGCACCTAAAGTAGTGAGAAGTGGATCCCATACTGCTTTTTTGGTGTTGCCTCCATCTAAAATCAAGGAGAAAGAGAGCAAATGAAATAGAAGAAAATAATCCTCTGCAATTTTTACTTTTCTAAAGTAAAACACATGTTCCCACTTTAAAGCACCATTTTCTGTTTCTATCTGGTACATTTTGACACTTTCATCTTTGACAAAAATCCTTGGTAAGTCACAACAGCCTGGGTTTTCTCACTCATGTATCCTCCCCCTCTTCATCTTTTTTGTTTCCTTTTTCTACTCTGGCAGGGAGGCACAGAGCAAGGAGGAAAAATGACAAGGAGGAAGAAGATTTGGCAAGGGACAGAGGGAGAACTGCTGCCATGCAGAGAGGAAGCACTTGTTGACAGGGAGAGAGGGAGGGCAAGAATGAAGATTGTATGGGAGGAAGGTAAGACAAACCCAGAAACGGCTGTCCTGCTCTGAGCTCTGAGCTCTGAGGTCCCTTGTACTCCAGGCTTTGAGGACTAAAAAATGATGGGGAAATAATTTAGAAATAGTCTGATTTTCCATGTTCTGAGTTGAATAAAGTGCCAGAGCCATGCCGGGTATCAATTAGAATAGGAGAAATGGGGCTGGTTATGATTCCACAAAGAACAATGCAAGTTCATCTATCTGGCCTTTATGCTTAAAATGCAGGGTCGCCCTACATCTGCAGCCACCCTAAGTAACCTGTATGTCTCCAGGTTCGACGTAGTAAGAGGGGACTGCACACTGGTGATAAGCTTATAGAAAATATTCCTTCACCTCTGCCACAGACCCTGCTGCTGCTCGAAACTGCCTTTCTTCTCAGTTTTGCTTTCCCTTTTCCTTTCCCCTTCCTCTTTCTTTTTTATTTCTCCTCAAATTCAAGAGGTCACTTAGGGTTGAGGTAAGAGAAGTAATGAAAAAGTGGGGAAAATATGAAGAAATGAATATTGCCCCAGCTTAAGATATTTAAGAACAAAGATCCTAAATCAGGCAGTGCTGTAAAAAATAAGCAAATGTTAGATGCACAAAGTGGAAAACGTATAATACTTTTTTTTTTTTTTTTGAGATGGAGTTTCTCTGTTGTTGCCCAGGCTGAAGTGCAATGGCACGATCTTGGCTCACCGCAACCTGCGCCTCCCGGGTTCAAGTGATTCTCCTACCTCAGCCTCCCGAATAGCTGGGATTACAGGCACACACCACCACACCCGGCTAATTTTGTATTTTTGGTAGAGATGGTCGACTGGTCTCGAACTCCTGACCTCAGGTGATCCACCCACCTTGGCCTCCCAAAGTTCTGGGATTACAGGCATGAGCCACCATGCCTGGCCAACAATACATTTTTGTTGCCGGTAGGGTAAGCACACTAGTGGGGCTAGAGAGGGCTGGGCATTTAGTGACAGAGGCTGGGCAGAATCCAGAGGACAGGCTTGGCAGTCAGATTCCTCTCACCTGATTTAAGTGCTAAAGAGGACAGATTTATTCTACTCCATCAGTATAAAATGTGGTGTGTACATTCTTAATATATATTTTTTATCTGTTAATAAACTGTATATACATTTACTGTGCTAATGTATTACTTATATTACAAATATCAGAAAACTAAAATGTAAAAGGACAGAATTCTAATGTTGTCTTCTTAAACACCCACATGGGACAACTATTGCTATCCTCAATGAAATGACAAGATCAAATCTAGATTTTAGAAAGAGGTATCTGGGATAGGGAAGAAGAGATGCATCTTTACAAAAAAGGTAGAGAACTTCCTCAGACAAAAAGGGGGGAAAATGCTGAATTCACCAAGTTAAGTGGATGCATTCTATGCCTCAGAACTTCTCACAGAGCCTTTTGCACATACATTTCTAGAGGGAGTGAGTTCTGAGGTGTTCCCCACTCTTTTTAGGCCCCAGAATGCTCTTTGAAAGAAACATATTGGGAAACCAGTTTCCCACAGAACACAGTGCGGGAATAGCTGATCTAAACTAATTTTCTCCATCCACTTAGAGTGTGCACTTCCCAATGCTGTGTAGCTAAACTTTTGTCCAGCTCATGGAAACTGTTTCGATAATGCAACCTCATGAGAGACTGAGTCAGAGCCACCCAGCAAAGCCACTTGCAGGTTCCTGGCCCTTAAAAACTATATAAGATAATGAATGTTTGCTATTTTAAGCTGCTAGATTCAGGAATAATTTGTTATACAGCAATAGGTAGCTAATACATCCCATAAATTCCATGCATGAGTATGTCTTAATTTTGTCTTATCATTTCTTTTTCCACTGATGATTCATGTGGCATTTTTATTTCATTTTCAGCATTTAATTGTGAGGATTATGGTAGGAAACCCAATTTCTTCAAGTTATACTATAAAAGATGAAAGTTGTTTGGGAAAGCTCCAAGCTTGAAAACATATAATATTGGAGGCAGGAGGGTCGCCTAGGGCAATCAGCAGGTAGGGAACATTTTCTACCGTTACTTCTACTTTGGTAATTGTCTGCTTTCCATTCTCTTTGTTCTTGCCTTCTGGGACTCCTGAATAGTAGAATATTAATAACATCTCTCCTTCACATCTCTCAGCTCTTGTGAGCTGTGGTTTCATTCCAGTGAGCTTTCTATGTCAATGAACTCCAGTCTATATTTCATGATTCAATAAACAAAGGTGGAAGGAAATGAGGTTCCAGCTTCTTAAAGGGGAAAAAAAAGAAACATAAGTTGTGACATCACCAAATCCAAGAGAAGCAGCATCTAAAGAATATTTTCAAATTCATTGAGAGGATGAATCAGATAAAAATAAATAAAGAATCCCAGGTTATGGCACGACAGTAACCATGTAGAGAAAAGCAGTCTTATAGAAGAGGTAGAGAGGGAAAAATAGATCAAATAAAGATTGAAAAGTGAGGAAATGGAGACCACTATTTTAGGAGACTTGCTGTGAAGAAAGAAGAAGAATAAAATGGTTTTCTGAAAAGGTACATGACATCAAAAGGAATCCAGAGTATTTTTTAAGATAGAGACTATTATTATGCCCTGTATGCTTATGAGGGTCATCCAAAAGAGCTTGATAAATTAATGATGCAGGAAAAAAGAGAAAATCATTATAGAAATGTTATCTGTAAGAAGGCTGGAATGGATGGGACCCTAAACAGTAGAGAGATTTGCTTTTGATGCAAGCAGGGACATCTCTAAAAAGATAATAGAAAAGAAAGCAAAGAATGTGAGCTGATACGCAGGTAGGTTAGTGGATTTGGTGGTAGGAAGGTAAGACCTTTCTCTCTCAAGCAGACCTGTTATTTTTCTCCAAGTACTTCAGCTGCTGAGATGGCAGTGCAGAAAATGCAGCGTCAGATTTACGTAGGGCTGGGGTTTTACCAGGAGAGTTCTATTGAATGGGAAAACTAAAGGGAGTTTGCAACTGAGTGACTTTAGTGATGGGTAACAAATCAATGATCTTAACATGGGAGAAGAATTATTGATTAAAGTGGACGTGCTACAGTAAATTAGACAGAAAGATAAAAATGTTTATCAGGAACAGCATGCTTGAAGCCAAGATATCAAAGCTGTGCAATTACTGGTGACAATCCTTGGAAATGAGAAAGTCAAGGAACTGAGAGGCTCAGGGTGCTGGGTTGTTCAGCAAATGATAGTAAAGTCTCCCAGAATGATGAGGAAACTGGTGAAGAGGAAGACTGTGAACAAAGTGTGAAAGTCCTAAGTGATAAGGAGGTTTAAGTCATGACAGGAAAAAAAAAAAAGAGGAGAAGTATCTATGGTATAGTCAGACAACAAGAACTTCAAAAGGGATTCGTTTTTGATGGAGAAAGGAGTAGAAATTATTTGGATGCTGCCCTGGGCAACAAGCAGGGCACCCAACTCACTTCCTGTCAGCTTGTGATTGGTGGACTATGGGCTTCCTTGTGAGAGTGCAGAAAGGAACGGGTATCCTTGTGGGGTAGGTTGTTTTAATCAGGGCCGAAAGTTAAAGAAACAATCAGAGACCAGCTTAAGTTCATAAAGGAGTTTGCTAAATAATGGACCACGAGTTCCAAAGGGCATGGTAGAAGCATTTCGAAGGGCAGAGAAGGCAGGTAGGTGTATTAGTCCATTCTCACATTGCTATAAAAAAAGAAACCTGAGACTGATTAATTTATAAGAAAAGAGGTTTAATTGGCTCATGGCTCTGCAGGTGAACAGGAAGCATAGCAGCTTCAGCTTCTGGGAAGGCCTCAGGAAGCTTCCAATCATGGCAGAAGGCAAAGGGGGAGCAAGACATCTTAAGTGGTAGGAGCAGGAGCAAGAGAGAAGGCGGAGGCAGAGGGGTGTTGCTACACACTTTTAAATAACCAGATCTCATGAGAACTCACTCACTATCAGGAGAACAGTACCGGAGGGGGATGGTGCTAAACTATTCATGAGAAATCCACCCTCATGATCCAAACACCTGCCACAAGGCCCTACCTCCAACGCTGGGGATTACAATTCGACATGAGATTTGATGGGACACAGATCCAAACCACATCAGTAAGAGATTGATTTAAACTAAGGGATGAACTGGGCAGGGTGGGGAGGAGAATATGGATAATAATAAATGGCTTGGATGCTTAAACTTTTAGAGATTAGAAGGAGGTAAAGGAGTATTGAAGATAATTTGGGATACATCCTGGTCATATATTAAAGAATGATGGGAAATCTAAGATATGGTCCAGGCAATTTAGTTAGAAAACACGGGACAATGGGGGGATGGGGCAACTGCTCATTCCTAGAACAGGTGGAGGGTGCTAATGAAGGAAACGAAAGACAGGAATAAGCATTTGAACATTTGTTAGAAAGTTAAAGAACATAATCTATTAAAATGAAAATGAATGTGCCTTTTTACTCAGCAAGTTTACTTTTTGGGAGTAACTGCATTG